>NC_000001.11:54402319-54553835 GCF_000001405.40 Homo sapiens
ATGTGGACGAGAATCCATACTGTTCTAATCTGTTTCCTTTTTACCACCCAAACCAAAATGGCTGCATATCCTAAAAAAGGTTCAAGTGCCAAAGTCAGAACACAACTATGATTCATATATGCCGCGATTTGGAAGACTCTGGCAATAGGAACTTTACAGGCTCTTAATCCCAGAGCCCGCACCTCCACCCTTCCCACCTCACCCCCACTCCCACCCAAGCCCTCCCTCAAGGAATTCTTATGCAAGAACCACTCCTCCCTCCATGCACCAAAAAACACAAATCAGTTAGGCAAAGGACAGGTCATGGACAACCAAGTATCCAGTCCTTTCACATTGCAGTAGAGGGCCCTCTTCACAGAAGCACCTGTCAGCAAAGGGAAAGAAGGAAGCAGGCCTAGAAATGCCTGCCTCACCCCCCACTAAAGATTTTGTATGGTCACTCCGACATTCTGTATTAAAATGAGAACAGACATACAAGTCCTATGTCAACCAATAAAGCCCTATTCAAACACGGAGTTGTCAGTGATATTAACAAGGGACCTAAGAAACTCTCCAAATCAGGAGCCCGAGGCCCAGGGACAGAACAAGCTTAAAGGGTAAAGTGGGCACCAAAACCAAAGTCCTACTCCTGGTCCACTGCTCTTGTCCTCGTCACAAACAGCCAGCTCTGCAAGTCATCAGACAAGCATCTCACTCAAGGTGTGAATAATGCAGCCTGCCCCTCACCAGACAAGCTCCACTGCTTCCTCCCGCTGGAGAAAGCCTGGGTCATTTGCTCAGTGTCAAATCGCACAAACCAACTTCTACCAAACAGGGCCACAGCCACTCAAAGCCACCACCGCCCGGGCCTAACACAACAGACTCTACGTTCCTGCGGCTGAGATAAGGATGGAGAAGTTTCAGGAGATTCTGGATATAACAGGAAAATCAGGACTTCTACTAGCTGCAGAGGGGGGCTGGAGAACATTCCTTTCTGTCTTCTGGAACTGTACACATCTGCTTACCTCCTCCACACGTTAAAGGTTTCTAACACTACAAATTCCCCGGCCCCTTCACTCATAAGCCTAAGTAACCTTCAATCATAAACCTAAGTTTCTACAAGATCCAAGCCGATCAGAGCCGCCAACCCCATCCACACACTCCCTCCAAAAACAGCCACAGAAAGCCTATCACCCACTCCTACAGGTGGAATCCTTCCGCCACACAAATGCCTCCAAGACCGGCAGTTCCGAGGTTGGCAGAAGTAATTAAAAACTCATTTTCTCTGCACAAGTTAGAACAGACACTTCATCCTCCTGCTGTTCTAAGAGACTTAAAACAGTAACCTGAGCTGGCAGATAAACCCGCTAAGATCCCAACGACAGGAGACAGGACACACCGTTTTGCTGAACTCCATCAAAATATCAAAAGCCACTCTGCTTTCTTTTCTTTTTCAAAAGGATGTCAAAGACTCCACCAGTCAGTCCCACAAAACACCCGGGTCATATACCTAGGGCAACTGGCTCCGGCTGACCCTGAGCTCCCTCCTGGCTGTCATATACCCAACACAGAGACCAGACCTGCGGTGGCCCCACACCCAAAGGACACAGAGGCCTGGTTAGAGAGTCACAGAGAGTGGGAGCCCCTAACTGCAGACACTGCGAGGTCGACTCTGACCAGTTAAGGTTCTGCGTAAAACAACACTTTGTGGTTTTAGTGGGGGAGGGGGGCGGGGAGCTCCCAGAGGAAAGGAAGGACCAGTCAGTCTGAATCAGTATCTTTAAAGGAAGTGGCAGCCCTTTCTTGCTCTTTCTCAGGGTGCCTGGAAAAAGCCCCGGTAGATGTCCTCTCTTAAGGTTGTGAGCTCCCGAGGAGAAAAAGGAAGGGACAGGCTAGTTGTAAAACAGACCTGGTATCCCCTCCACGCCGCCCCACCCCCACTCCTCTAATTAAAGCAACATGCAGAATTGACAAAAATCCTCCAATGTTTTTTCAAACCCCCTGCCTAGAGCCCCAGAGTGAAATGTAAAAGTAAGGAGTTTCTACCCCAACACCACAGATGGTTTTGTCGTTTTTCCCCCCAAAACTTTAGGTAACATCCTCTTCCGCCCTTCTCCTCCTTGGCCAGCTGGGCCGGAGTGCCTCGAGGTGCCCCGCTCTGTGCAACGCAGAGGGCCACAGGGCGGAGGGCCTGCTCCAAGCCTCCCTTCTTTGTTCACTTGGACCCAGGGCTCACAACAAAACAAACACACATGCAAAACTATCACACAAACTTACCACCACCACGAGTGCAAAAACCCAGGCGGTTCTCCCAACGTGATGTTTTTTTCCCATCGAATCTGGAAAGGTAAGAGCAGAAGCAGCTTAGAGGAGCAGAGACGGGGTGGGCTGGGGGCTTCCCAGAGCCAAAAGGCTAGGAAGACCAACTAACAATAAATGCCAAAAGGTGATAAAAATTCAAAATGGTGGCCACAGTGGCTGCTCCTGAAAACAAAGGCTCTAAGAATAGTGGGGGGGGGGGGTGTCAAGAAATTGGATGCTGGGGGGAGTCCCACTCACCTCCGATAAGAAGGTCTGTGCAGATTTCTGTGCTCCTACGTGCAGTAAATATTCGTAGACGTATAAAGCTAACCTGGAAAGTGGACAGGGGGCAAAGAGAGAGAGGGAAAGGCGTCAGATCCCACCGGCGCTCTCCAGGACCTTGCCAGCAGGCTTTGAGCCCTGTCTGCGCCGTCCCATTGTGGCCCCGACCAGAGGTAAGCAGCTAGCTCACCCCAAACAGGGCCGCCAGGTGCGAACAGTTAGGGGGTGGGGACCAGGGAACGCGTTACCTCAAGCGGTGAGGGATGGAGAGCAGCCCCCAAACTTGAACTTCCAAGTGGCGTCGCGGGCAAACCCACCTAGGTTCCTCAAACTCGCAAGCCACTCGACCCCACAGCCACCTTGCCTTTCCCGACCCACTGCTCGCTACGCTCTCGCCAGCTTTGGAGGTCCGAGGAGACTCGGCCCTGGACTCCGGGTGCTTGGCGCGCTCTGGAGAGGGCAGCAAAGCGCCACCCTCGTCACCTCCCCCCAAACAACTGTGCCCCAAGCCTGGGGCCAAGCCGGCACCACCGTCGCTGCCCAGCCCGGCGTCCGAGGACGCGGAGCCGGTGACGAAGCCGAGGACAGGGAAGGGAGAGCGCTCCCGGCCGAACAAAGCCCCCGGCACGCACTCCTCACGCCGCGGGCGGACAAAAGGAGGCTTCGGGGCTGCAGAAGCCACGCGCCCCCTGCCCGCACCCGGTGGGCAAAGTGCGGCCACCGCGGGGAGCGCCCGGCTGGGGAGAACGTCGAGGCTCGCTGGCGGGACCTCGCCCACCACTCACCGCGGGCCCCCGCGCTCGACCCGCGCCACGGCCACCAAGTACCCCCTCCGGCGGCTCCCCCCACCGCCCCTTCCCCGATCCCCCAACCTCCGCCGGCTCCCAACAATGGGCTCTCCCACGCCGCCCGCCGCGGCCTCGGGGAAGGGGCCAGGCAGGCGGCGCCTGGACCCGGGGACCCGAGGGCGCAGCAGCCTCCGGCCCCCGCCCGCCCGCCCACCTGCCTCCCACCGCCCGCCCGCCCGCAGCCCGGCGGCGGCGCGGCCGCCACTTGCAAAATAGGGCTTACTTTTCCCGAGCCTGCCCATCCGAGGGCACCGCCGAGCCTTTGCCTTTGGCAAACATGGTTTGCAGGGAAGAGGGCGCCGAGCCTCGCCGCCGCCGCCGCCGCCGCCGCTACCGCTCCGGCTCTCCCGAGCTGCCCCTCGCTCCCGGCCCCCTCCCCGGCGCTCGCTCGCTCTCTCGCTCGCTGGCGCTCTCCTCGCCGCGCTCCCCTCCCTCCCCCCCAGGCGCTGGCTCCGCGCTCTTTCCAGCTGTCAAAGCGTCAGCCCCGGCCGCGGCCCCATCGCCCTGGAACTCCTTCCGCGCCGGCTCGGCCTGGGGGTGCCGCCGCCGCCGCCCGCACGGCCGCCCGCTCTCCGCTCGCTCGCGCGCCCGCCCGGCTCCGCCTGCGCCGCCCTCTGCGCCTCCAGCACCGCTGCCGCCGCCGCCGCCGCCGCCGCCGCTGGTCTACTTGGAGCTCAACCGAACGTGGCTACCCGGGCGAGGGAGCGAGGCGGGCGGCAACGTCCCGCGATGGATGGCCGCCTCGGCCAATCGGCGCACGCGGGGGCGGGCCCGGGCCGGCTGGGAGGGACGCCCTGACAGCGCCGGCCGCGGCAGTCCCCGCTGCGGCCGCCTCCGCGGAGCCGCTGCCTGCTCCTGCAGGCGAACTGGGGGCGTCCGGGGGCGCGAGCCTCTCTTTCTGTCGCCGGGGCGGTGGGCGACGTGGATCGGGCTGGGGGCACCCTGGTCTCCTCGCCCCAGCGAGGAGGGGGATCTGACCCGCGCTCCCCGCGGCGTGGACCACTGGGGGGCTAGGGGGGCGCTGCGGCAGCGTCCGATGGGAGGGGGCGCAGACCCCCAAGCGGTCGCCGCTCGCTCCCTCCCGCCCCGTCCCTCTCCCTTATCTGCCCCTCAGCTCCCCCCCGCCGCGGCCCGCACCAGCCCAGCCCTTATCTCGCCCTCCGCTCTTGGTTGTCCTCCCCCTAGGCTCCGACCCCGACCCCCTCCCCAGACTCCAGCCCGGCCCCCAGCCCGCCCCGCCCCCGGGCCTCCCTCTCGCCCAGTCTGGCTTCCGAGCGCCGGGCCCGGGGCTCCACGCTGAGAGCTGGGCGGCTCGAGCCGGCGCCGAGGCGCGCGGCTGCTCCTTTACTAGATCATTAAAATACTTTGGAAAACCCCAAAGTGGAGCCGCGCGAAAATGGCCCTTGGCGTGCTTTGGGGAGCCGGGGGGGAGGGGGGCTGGGGACAGGGGACTTGAATTAAGAGGAGGGAGAGTGATTTCTCCCAAATTTCCAAGGTTTGCCAGTCTTGGCAAGTTAGCCCCTCGGCTTCTGCACGGGAAAGGGTGCCACTCGGAGATGGGGGGCGTCACCTGGGCGGCCCGCGACGCGGAATGCTCGCCACAGAAATCTGCAAACTTCAAATAAATGGAGCTAAATTGGGGAGTGAGGGGACGAGAGTCAGGCGTAGGGGGAGGGGAAGCTTCCATTGTCAGTGACCCAGGTGTACAATGGGAAATTGAGGGGGGGGCTGGCAGAGTGACCCAGCTATTTGCTGCTGACTCCTTTCTGCCCACGCCGAGAACCCAGAAGACACACTGCGTGCCCCTCATTAGGGACTCTTAAGACCAGATACCGGCGAAATAGGGGAAGGCTCCCCCATTTTCAGACTGTTTTTAGAGAGCGGATCTCTTTAAATGTGATAAAACACTGTCGGCACTGTCTCTTTAAAAGAGTCAAGCAGAAAAAGCTGTGTAAGCGCTGATTGGCTGCCTGTTTGGATACATCTTTAGGGGAGCCTTGAAACTGTTAGCCTAGGTTGATTTTTTTTTTTTTTTTTTTTTTTTTTTTAACTGCGCTGTTCCAATAAACAAGTAACGCCCCTCCCCCTAACATGCCTCGCACCAAACAATTAAAGGATAGGTCAGTGTCCTGGGGAAAACACGTTTCAAGTAGGAAAACTCAGAACTAGATTTCAACAAAATAAACAATAATTCCCTACCATTAAAGTTTGCTTATTTTGATCTGTAGAAGAGAGAAAAGGGGCTTTTAAAAGAAATGCCCCGCAGCAAAAGAATCTGCATTGGTTCAGGAAGGAGACTCTGGGTGCATTTTTGGAATAATGTTCTACTCAATGTAACAACCTCCCTAAATTAGAGTACAGCCAGGCCCTGCGGACACCTCTGGACTCACTCTGCTCCCTTCCAGGACCCAGCGCTCACAGGGGAAAGGGGCAGAAAAAAGGAACGCTGAGACCTAGTTTATGGGCGTCTGTGCGCTAGTCCCTATTTTAAAGGTTGTTTCGTGAATGAGGGAAGCATGGAGGTTGGGAGTTGGAATACAAGGATAGGGGAGAGAAGGAAATAATTACAGTTATTTTTTCCCCTAGGCGGTTTAATTTAATAGGGCTAACTTAAGGTACCTTAGAGCCCACACTAATTAAATTGGCCTGCTCATACCCTTGCCCTGGACTTCCTTCTATTTTGAATGGGCTAGGAATGGCCAGGGATGGCTTGTCAACAGACTGACTCACAAGAAGCCTGACTCATCTTGTGTCTGCAAGGCCCACAAATTAGGAGTATCGGTTTGGTCCTGGCTAAAAAAAGGAAGACACTGCCCTTCTCCGGCCCTGCTATGACCCAGGACTCAACCAGATTGGCCATGCCCTTATCAACTTCATGGCTGCAACACAAGCATATCTATTTGAGCATCAGTTTCTTCACCTGTCAAATGGCAAAGGGAGGTTAGAAGATATACAGTATCTCTTGATAATCTGATGTGCTACAATGTTAAAATTTCCCTCCTATATTTTTCTCTCCCTACCACCACCCTGGAAAAAGGACTAGCACCTCCTTTCCAAACATGTGGCAAGAAGAGAGGGGTAGGGTTCAGAGATCCTGTGCCAGGCACTCTGTGGTCAGCCCTTTGCTGGAACTTGACACAACAAAGCTGCACGATGGTTGGTAGATCCCTTGTTGGAGCTAAAAGAGATGGTGAGAGGGCCCGGGCAGAGAGAGCAGGGAGAGTGTCTTAGCCACCCCTCACCCCTGCTGGCTAGAAGATTGCTGAGGGGTTCCCTGGAAGCAGGACCACTCAGCAGCCCTAAGTAGGTGTGTGGCTGCTGGCACAATTATCCAAAATGTGGTCAGATCAGAAGCAAGTCCAAACACCCATGAACAGCATTCAAGGCCCCAGTCTACCTTTCCCCTCTGGATCCCCCCAGGCCACATCTTTGGGCCTGAAGTCTGTCTTCCTGGAATGCTTCCTGCCTCAGTTCCCTTCTTCTACCATCCTTTAAGGCTAACATCCCCTCCCTCCAGTGCCATCTCCTCCACAAAAACCTCCCTGCTTCTCACTCCTGGAGTGAAACCTGTCCTTCTGTCCCTCCAATCTTATCTCGTTTTGCTGGCACCATTCATTCTCCCCATTGTTGTAGCCACTTGTTTACTGTCTGTCTCCCCCACCAGACTGGGAGGGTAGGATCTCAGTTTGAGTTATCTGTGTATCTCCAGCACACAGCGCAGGCTCAATACCTGTGTATGTTAACACTCAGTGCAGGCACCAGGAGCCCCCAGGGACCGAGAGAGAGAGGGAAAACTCACCCCAGCCCCAAAGTACTGGGCCCAGTAGGGAGATAAGGAATGGATACCACCAACAATAGGGTTAGATAAGGCCACTCCCTCGGCTCAGCCACACCCTCCTAAACTACAGACACCTGGAACTCTGTACTTTCAGTTTCCAGAATGGCTATGCCATTTCACACATCCACCCTGACTCATATTCTCTCTGTCTCTCTGTCCCCCATCTTTCTCTTGCCTCCCTCCCTTCCTTTTTTTCTTTTCCTTCTTTCTTTTAGGACCTGCTTATTGAACGCCTGCTATATACCATACGCTGTTCTAGGCCTTGGGAGATAAACCAGACAAAAATCCTTACCCCGTGGAACTTACACTGTAGTGAAGTCCCCTGCCCAAAGCCCCCTCCGGTGACAGACTCCCACTAACACTTCTCAGATCCAGCCTGGGCAGGCAGCATCTCCTTCAGAGAGCCTTCCCAGATCCCCCCTCTGAACTCCCAGTTCGGGGCAGGTGTGCCCTCTGTGTCCCCACTGCATGGGTGTGGTTCAGGGGTGCATTTTCCCCATGGGAATATGACTCCTTAGGGTCAGGGAATGATCATCATTTTCTGGGGTACCCTCAGTGCCCAGTAACATGGTGAAAGGAACAGAAGGACAGATGAACTGGGTGACCAGATGTTGCAGGACATGCAAGTGAGGTGGGAGTGAAGACGGAGAGGTGAATTCCAAGCTTAGGCTAGAAGGGCCGCTCCTTCCTCTCTTGGCTGCCAGCAACTGGGGCAGCAGGAATCCTGGGTTCTGGCACCAGATGGTTGGGGTCCAGGCCTCCAGAAGGAGGTGGTTAAAGGAAAAGGGACTTTAGGCCCATGAACTCAACCCAGGAGACTGTGCTTGCCAAGGATGCCAGAAGACCTTGTTCCCTTTCCCTGGTTCAAAGCTCTCTTTCAGTGCTCCTCACAGCTGCTAGGAGGATGGATGCAAGCTCCCGCTGGGGGCTGTTTCAGTGGAAGCTGAGTATGCAGCCCACTTCTGCACCCGGCACGCTCAGTCCTAGAATTGCACGGGGATACCTCTGATCAAAACCTTCGGGCCGGTCAGCTCTGGTTTTAGCAGAAGTTTCCCTGAGGGATCGGGGGCCTCCACAGGGGGAATACAAAATCCAACACGCAAAGACCTGGCTTCACTGCCTTGCTGGCAGACTTTGGGCAAGTGACCTTCCCCTCTGAGCCTCACCGTCCTCTCTGTGCAATGAGTATGTTAATGCCTATGCCAAAGGCAGGCTGGGAGGACAAAGAGAGGTAAGTGATGGGGAATCGCCTACTAGGCTATTAGTCAGTGTTGGCTGAGCCCAAGGTTCTGATGATGGAGAGTAGCCGCTTGGGATGGGTGTTTGGGGGCTCAGGGGAGACAGTAATTGGGGAAATGTTTCGAAAATTGAAAAAGATGATTACTCATGGCCAGCAAACAGAGAGGTGCTAAGAAAGAAGTGGATTTAAATTTAAAATCAAATGTGTTTTGAAATGTCTTCCAACGGACACATACTTCTCCTGAGCCAATTTGTCATAGCAAAACAGGCTTCAAGTATGGAATGGGTTAGTATAGAATCGGTTAGTTCAATTTGAAAGCACCCATGTGCTCAGCCTTGTTTTGTTTTGTTTTTTTCCTACCTATTTCCTTCATAAGAATTTAAGCATTTGAGCTAGGCACGGTGGCTCACACCTGTAATCTCAGCACTTTGGGCTGCCAAGGCAGGCAGATCATGAGGTCAAGAGTTCGAGACCAGCCCGGCCAACATGGTGAAACCCCGTCTCTACTAAGAATAGAAAAATTAGCCGGGCATGGTGGCATGTGCCTGTAATCTCAGCTACTCGGGTGGCTGGGGCAGGAGAATCGCTTGAACCCAGGAGGCGGGGGTTGCAGTGAGCCGAGCTCGCACCACTGCACTCCATCATGAGCGACAGAACAATACTCTGTCTTGAAAAAAAAAAAAAGAATTTAAGTACTCTGACAGGCCATGGTGGCTCATGCCTGTAATCCCAGCACTTTGGGAGTCCGCGGCGGGAGGATCACTTGAGCCAGGGACGCTGGGAAGTACAAGAAAGCAGAAGGCTGCCGGGCGCGGTGGTTCACGCCTGTAATCCCGGCACTTGTGGAGGCCGAGGCAGGCAGATCGCGAGGTCAGGAAATCGAGACCATCCTGGCTAACACAGTGAAACCCCGTCTCTACTAAAAATACAAAAAATTAGCTGGGCATGGTGGCGGGCGCCTGCAGTCCCAGCTACTCAGGAGGCTGAGGCAGGAGAAAGGCATGAACACAGGAGGCGGAGCTTGCAGTGAGCCGAGATGGCGTCACTGCACTCCAGCCTGGGGGACAGAGCGAGACTCCGTCTCAAAAAAAAAAAAAAAAAAGCAGAAGGCAAGGCCCTATCCTGGTAGCTGGGGAGAGGAACCTGACACCCACCACTCCCCCAACTCCACCTCACCAGACTCACCAGAGTGCCCTAGCCTCTGAGTTCTCTCAGCCTGGGACCAGCATGGCTCTATTTTCATTCACTTGCCAAAACTTTGCTCTTGCTGGTCACTCTTCTCCAAGGTAAAGGCTTCACTCCCACCTCATTTCCTCCAGGTCAAATCACCAGAGCCCCTCCCAAAGGAACCTCTTTAGAATGACAGCTGCCCTCGGCCAGGCGTGGTGGCCTGTGCCTGTAGTCCCAGCTACTCAGGAGGCTGAGGCAGAAGAATCGCTTGAACCCAGGAGGTGGAGATTGCAGTGAGCCGAGATCATGCCACTGCACTCCAGCCAGGGCGACAGAACGAAACTCTGTCTCAAAAAAATTTAAAAATAAATAAATTAAATAAATAATAAAGGAATGCAGTTCTGATACAGTCTATAGCATGGATGAACGTTGAAGACATTATGCTAAATGAAATCAGCCAGACCCAAAAGGACAAATACTCTACGATTCCGGTCATATGAAGTACCTAGAATAGTCAAATTCAGAGAGACAGAGTAGAAAGGTGGTTGCCAGAGCCTGGGGAAGGAGGGAGTGGGGAGTTAGCGTTTAATGATAATAGAGCTTCAGTTTGGGAAGATGAAAAAGATCTGGAAATGGATGATGATTCCATTGGTTACACAATAATGTGAATACACTCAATGCCACTGAAGTGTACGCTATAAAAGAGTTACAATGGTAAATTTTGTTATATATATTTTACTGCAATATTTTTTTTTGAGACAGAGTCTTGCTGTGTCGCTCCGTTTGGAGTGCAGTGGCGCGATCTCAGCTCACTGCAGCCTCTGTCTCACGAGTTCCAGTGATTCTCTTGCCTCAGCCTCCTGGGTAGCTGGGATTACAGGTGCACGCCACCACGCCCAGCTAATTTTTGTATTTTTAGTAGAGACAGAGTTTCAACATGTTAGCCAGGCTGGTCTCAAAACTCCTGACCTCGTGATCCACCCACCTCAGCCTCCCAAAGTGCTGGGATTACAGGTGTGAGCCACCGCGCCTGGCCTGCAATTTTTTAAAAAACTAAAAAGAGATGGGTGATGACCCAAGCATCACATGTGGGAAAGACTTACGGACATGGTGCAGAATGGCGCAGCACACCCCTGTCTGAGCATCAGAGGTTCCCATGCTCCTGAAACCCTCTCCTCACACAGCTTCAGGGCTCCACTCTCTCCTGGTTTTCCCTCTTCCTCTCGGGCTATTCTTCCTGTTATCCTTTAACGGATTCTTTTTTCTCCAGCCTCCTCTAAAAATTTTATTAGTCAAACTATTGCTGATACAGTGTTACCTAACACACAGCCCCCAAATCTCAGTGGCTTATAATAAAAGCCATTTATTTCTCACTCACAGGTCTGCAGTCAACTGGGCAGCTCTGCTTCAGGGTACAGCTTGAGTCTGTCCCATGGGTCTCTCATTCTGGGGCACAGGCTGAAGGGCAGAGGATGTCTGTCATGTTCTTTCCAGAGTAAAAGGAGCTCCAGAGGCCAGGCCAACTCACGCAAGCCTCACATCCGCTCCCAAGTCACATGGCCAAGCCCAGCATCAATGGGGCAGGAAGGGGGAGTGAATGTTTGCTGAACAGTAGTAAAATCTAGGACAGATGGGCTTCTCTCAGGCTCTGTCCTGGACCTTCTCTCTCTCTTTGGGCAAGTTCACATGGCACTAATTGCATCTGAACTTCAATGACAATGACTCCTGAATCCATCCCACTGGCGCAGACCCTTTTTCTTAGCCCCAAAGCCATGTGTGTTCAGTTACAGAGCATTTCCATCTGCCTGTCTCTCTGGTGCCTCAAAGTCCATGTGTCCAGAGCTGGCCTCATTATTTCTCCCCATCCAATTCCTGTAGTCAATCTCCATTTCTGTACCCGGCACCAACACCGTTCTATCAGGTGAGGAGAGCACACAGAAGGTGCCGTGTTTACCAGATCCAGCTGGCCAAGCTTGGCACTGGCTGGGAGTGAGAAAGAGGAGAAGCAGAGACCGGCCCCATGGTGTGTGGTAGAGATGGTTGGGTCCAGCCCTGAATTGTTGCACAGCCCCTAACTGGTCTCCCTGCCTTCAGAACACTCCCCTTCACCCTCCCTTCCCCAGCCAGAGGGATGTGTTTAAGGCACAGGTCTGACCATGTCACGCTCCTGCTTAAAACCCTTTGGGGAATCGCCATTTTATCCAAAATGAAGCCCAAATTCTGCAGCAAAAAGATTCAAGGTCCTTCATGATCTGACCCTATCTCCCTTCACAGCCCGTTGCTTGTTGGGGATTGTCCTGGATGTGGGGGATGGATGTGTGAACAAGAGAGCTGTGGTCCCTGCTTCCTGGAGGTTTGTCACCTGTGGGGAAGCAGATGACTCCATTAGTACCTACAAGATCCAACGTGACAAGGGTGGTGATGGAACACATAGGCCCCCGTGGGCACAGTGCAGGGGCGCTAGGCTGCCCCAGGGTGTCAAGGAAGGCAGCTGGAGGAGGTGACCTTCCTTCCTCTGGCTGTAATGGGAATGGATGAGTGCTCTCAGGGGGAAGCTAGGGACAGGCTCCTAGGTTTACCAGCAGGGCTGATGCAGGAGGAGCCAGTGAAGGAGACCAAGGAGGACTGTTCAGAGCCGCAGAGGAGGAGGCAGCCCCGGGAAGACAGCGCTTCCAGGAGAGAGTGGCCGAGCAACGGAGAGCATGAACACGGCTTTTGGAAAGAGCTCTGTGAAGGGCACAGTTGGCCGGTGTAGAGCAGTATTACTATTTTTTTTAAGACGGAGTCTCCCTCTGTTTCCCAAGCTGTAGTGCAGTGGCGCGATCTCGGCTCACTGTAACCTCTGCCTTCCGGGTTCAAGCAGTTCTCCTGTCTCAGCCCCCCGCGTAGCTGGGACTACAGGCACCTGCCACCACGCCCAGCTGATTTTTGTTATTTTTAGTAGAGATGGGGTTTCATGATGTTAATCAGGCTGGTCTCAAACTCCTGACCTCAGGTGATCCACCCACCTCAGCCTCCCAAAGTGCTGGGATTACAGGCGTGAGCCACCACGCCCGGCCACGTAGAGCAGTTTTAGGGGAGTGATGAGGCTGGAGCCAGACCCCGGCAGTGGAGGAGTGGAAGGGAGGCAGAGGAGAGAGAATGCCGTGGAGGAGTGGGAGGGAGAGAGGAGACAGCAAGTGTGGATAACTCTTGGGGTAAGAGACAGCCAGCACCCACAGGTAAGAGTGTTGCTGTGTTTTGCTGGAAAGTGGGAGACACTAGAACCTGCACAAATGCTGATTGCAGGGAGTCCATGCAGAGGGCAAGGCTGGAGGAACTAGATGGAGGTTGAGGGTGAAGCTAGCATGGAGTCCCTAAGAAGAGGGAGGAGAGTGGCCTCAGTAGGGTTGGAAAAGTGCCTTCACCTCTCTGGGCACACAGACATGGAGGGACTCAGCCTGCACCATCGAGGCGCTCACAGTCTAGGAGATGAGGCTGTCCAGGGGAAACAGGCTTGGAGCTGTGGCTTTAAAGGATGAGTAGGAGTTTGCTAGGCAGGCCAGCAGAGGTAAAGGGATCCCAGACCATGGGAACAGCATGGACAAAGGCACAGAGGCATGAGACAGCCAACATATTAGAGCAATGGTGGGTTCAGGGGGTGCACATGGGGCTCAGGAGGAAGTGGTGATAGATGAGGCTGGAAGGTGACCAGGAAGCTCTTGCAGCTTCATGTAGGAATTCATGAGCATCTGTGAACTCAGGACCCAGCCTGGACACCTGTGGATGCTGAGGGATGCCAAGAACAGGTTCCTGTTAACCTCTGTGTTGCCCGGTACTTGGCTTACATGTGTGCCGAATAAATGAAGGATCCATGTTTTGTGGCAAAGCATAACAGAGTAATTTCATCCTGAGGATGAGTGTGCTGGAAATGGCAAGGTTTCTTCATCTGAGCCACTCATTCCATTCCATCCGCGTACCCGACACCGCATGGGTGGGGATACAGAGATCAGCACTAGATGCCCAAAGAGTGCTCAGTAAAGGTTGGTTATTCCCTCTGTGGAGCCCTGTGTTCAAAACTTCCCATCTAGCCACCCCTCCTACAGGGGCTCCAGCCCTGCTTCCTTCCCCCGTCAGCCCGTGCTGGGGGTTGAGAGGACTCCAGAGACATGCGGATGACACATGGAGTGTGCCAGTCAGCGGCCCTCTCACCCTAGCAATCTGGGGCACCCGGAGCAGAGCTCGCAGGCTTGTTCTGTGATTCTGATTCCTGTTTCCACGGAAACAGACATCGGCAAACGTCAAAGTCCCAGCTTTCAAATACAGGTCTCTTCCAAAACTTACTCTCACATGATTCATAGGCTCCACAGTTGTGGAGGTGGCAGAAACCTCTGAGAGCACCCACCCTCCACCTCACCATAAGGGTCCTAGCTCCCAGTTGAATGCTCTGTCCTTTATCTGGCACTGCTTCCAACCCAGGAGGCCCAGGAAGCCATCCTGAACTGTTAGCCTGGGCCTCAGTTTACCCATCCATATGATGAGGCCGTAGTTCCTGAAGTCAACAAATGCTTGTTGAGCACCTCAGGATCCTTCCAGCCCAGTGCAAGAGAGTCCAGGGCAGTGAGTACAGGGAGTGGCAGTGGTTAGATTGGGAGCTTGAAGAGGACGCTGGGAGGAGGGAATGAGAGAGCACCGGTCACCCAGGAGCACTAGTGCTGTGGCGCTGAGCAGGCTGGCAGGAAAAGAGCTTCTCCAGCAGCGCCCTTGGGCTGTGGCTCTCACCCCCTCTAGAATGCTGGCCCTCTGCTTCTGCTCCTGGGGCTCCCACGTTCTCGTCTCTCTGCTGTGCCTCTGTCTCTCTGCGTCTTTACATGTCTCAGCCTCTTCTGTCTCTGTGTCTTAGCTTATTTCTGTCTCTGGGTCTTTCTGAACACTTGTCCCTCAGTCTCTTTCTGTGGGCTTCTTTGAATTTTTACCATCTCTCTGAGGTTCTCCATTCTCCCACTGGAAAGACCCACAAGGACAGAGATTTTGTCTGTTTTGTCCTTTGTTTTATCCTCAATGCCTGGAATGGCACCTGGCACTTAGTAGGTGTTCAGCAAGCATTTGTCAAATGAATTCTCTCTTTTCTGTTTTTCTCTCTTCCCCGCCTTCTTGCGTATCTCTGTCCTCCTCTCTTGTCCTCTCTCCTGGCCTCATCTACTGTTTGTGTATCTTTTGACTTCTGTTTCTCTTTCTCCTTTCCTTTCTTTGTCTCTCTCCTCTTTGCTCAGTCCCTCTCATTCTCGCTGTCCCTCTCTCACTGTTCTGCCTCTCTGTTGCTGCTGGCCTCTCTTGAACACATGCACACACACACACAGAAAACCATCTGCAACATTCCTTCCCACAAACGTTTCCTAGGTTGATGTGGGTTTAGGAAACCTAACTTCAAGCCTTCAGCTCCAACCCTCAGAGAGTCGCCCATACACACTCCCCCACTTCCCCAAATTACCGTTATAAACAGGACAAGGCATTGGGCAGCCCACAGCAAAACCGGGCAGTCAGCAACTTGTTTCTTTTTTTTTTTTTTAGACGGAGTCTTGCTGTGTCGCCCAGGCTGGAGTGCAGTGGCCCCATCTCGGCTCACTGCAAGCTCTGCCTTCCGGGTTCACGCCATTCTCCTGCCTCAGCCTCCCGAGTAGCTGGGACTACAGGCACCCGCCACCATGCCCGGCTAATTTTTTGTGTATTTTTTTTTTAGTAGAGACAGGGTTTCACCGTGTTAGCCAGGATGGTCTCCATCTCCTGACCTCGTGATCCACCTGCCTTGGCCTCCCAAAGTGCTGGGATTACAGGCGTGAGCCACCGCGCCTGGCCAGCAACTTGTTTTTCATGCTTTCAGCTGGCTCCTGAGTCACTGTTACCCTCTGCTCAGTGCCCCTCCCTGAACAGAAGGACCCCAAGGCCAAAGGACTGCCTCTTTCAATTATCTGTGCTAGGAAATGTTTCTGACACCAGCCACTCATTGCCTTGGTGTGACCCTAGTCACCATCACACTTCTTCAGGGACCTGTCTAAAAGTTTCTTCTCTGGGGGCTGGGCATGGTATCTCATGCCTGTAATCCCAGCACTTTGGGAGGCTGAGATGGGAGGATCACAAACCAGCCTGCAAGACCTCATCTCTCTCTCTTTTTAAAAAATAATTTTAAGAAATAAATGCTGGGTGTGGTGGCTCACACCTGTAATCCCTGCACTTTGGGAGGCCAAAGTGGGTGGATCACTTGAGGTCAGGAGTTCGAAAGCAGCCTGACTAACATGGTGAAACCCCACCTCTACTAAATACAAAAAAATTAGCCAGGCGTGGTGTCACATGCCCGTAATCCCAGCTACTTGGGAGGCTGAGGCAGGAGAATCCCTTGAACCCGGGAGGCGGAGGTTGCAGTGAGCCGAAATCGTGCCACTGCACTCAGCCTGGGCAACAGAGCAAGACTCCATCTCAAAATAAATAAATAAATAAATAATAAAAAATAAATAAGGCCAGGCATGGTAGCTCACGCCTGTAAACCCGGCACTTTAGGAGGCTGAGGCGGGTGGATCACTTCAGGTTAGGAGCTTGAGACCAGCCTGGCCAACATGGTGAAAGCCCGTCTCTAGTAAAAAAAATACAAAAATTAGCCAGGCATGGTGGCGTGCACCTGTAGTCCCAGCTAGTCGGATGGCTGAGACAGGAAGATCACTTGAACCCAGGAGGGAGTGGTTGTCGTGAGCTGAGATTGTACCACTGCACTTCAGCCAGGGCAACAAAGCAAGACTCTGTCTCAAATAAATAAATAAATAAAGTAATAAAAGCGACAATAGCTATAAAATGCTTGGCCAAGTACCTAGCCTGGTGTTTGATCAGGAAATGGTAAAAGGTACTAGTCTTCTTTTTTTTTTTTTTGAGATAGAGTCTTGCTATGTCACCAGGCTGGAGTTCAGTGGCGTGATCTCAGCTCACTGCAACCTCTGCCTCCCAGGTTCAAGCGATTTTCCTGCCTCAGCCTCCTGAGTAGCTGAGATTACAGGCACACACCAGCATGCCCAGCTAATTTTTGTATTTTTAGTAGAGACAGGGTTTCACCATGTTGGCCAGGATGGTCTCGATCTCCTGACCTTGTGATCCGCCCACCTCGGCCTCCCAAAGTGTTGGGATTACAGGCGTGAGCCACCACACCCAGCCAAAAGGTGCTAGTTTTCTTAATGTTATCTTTTTTTTTCAATTCTTTTTACTTCTTTCTTAAAAAAAAAAAAAATAGAGGCTGGCCACGGTGGCTCATGCCTATAATCCCAGGACTTTGGGAGGCCAATGTGGGCAGATCATTTGAGGTCAGGAGTTCAAGACCAGCCTGGCCAACATAGTGAAACCCTGTCTCTTCTAAAAAAAAAAAATTAATAATATATATACACACACACACACACACACACACACACACACATATACACACACACACACACACACACACACATATATATATATATATATATATATATGGCCAAGCATGGCGGCATGCGCCTGTAGTCCCAGCTACTCAGGAGGCTGAGACAGGCAAATGGCTTGAACATGGGGGGCAGAGATGGCAGTGAGCCGAGATCAGACCACTGCACTTCAGCCTGGGCAACAGAGTGAGACTCTAGCTCTAAAAAAAAGAAAAAGAGGCCAGGCGCAGTGGTTCACGCCTGTAATCCCAGCACTTGTGGAGGCCGAGGCAGGCAGATCGCGAGGTCAGGAAATCGAGACCATCCTGGCTAACATGGTGAAACCCCGTCTCTACTAAAAATACAAAAAATTAGCCGGGCATCGTGGCGGGCGCCTATAGTCCCAGCTACTTGGGAGGCTGAGGCAGGAGAATGGCATGAGCCCAGGAGGTGGAGCTTGCAGCGAGCCGAGATCGTGCCACTGCACTCCAGCCTGGGCCACAGAGCGAGACTCTGTCTCAAAAAAAAAAAAAGAAAAAGAAAAGGAAAAGAAAAACAGAAGAGATGAAGAGTCTCACTATGTTGCCCAGACTGGTCTCAAACTCCTGGCCTCAAGCCATCCCCCAGCCTCAGCCTCCCAAAGTGTTGGGATTATACGCATAAGCCACTGCACCCAGCCTCTAAATATTATTATTATTATCATTATTATTATTTTTGAAATGGAGTCTTGCTCTGTCGCCCAGGCTGGAGTGCAGTGGCGAGATCTTGGCTCACTGTAACCTCCACCTCCCAGGTTCAAGCGATTTTCCTACCTGAGCCTCCCAAGTAGCTGGGACTACAGGCATGTGTCACCACACCCGGCTAATCTTTGCATTTTTAGTAGAGACGGGGTTACACCATGTTGGCCAGGCTGGTTTCGAACTCCTGACCTCAAGTGATCCACCGGCCTCGGCCTCCCAAATTGCTGGGATTACAGACGTGAGCCACTGTACCAATAAAATGCTGTTTTATTGGCAGTCACAACAACCCTAAAGGTGGGTATTATGTCACCCATTTTCCAGGGGAGAAGCTGAGGCTTGGAGAGGAAGAAGAGCAATTTACCAGGTTACCCAGCTAGTAGGCAGCAAGGCTAGGATTGGAATCTACACATCCCAACTCCAGCCTCTTACCCAGCGTCATCACTGTTTTGACCTTCTCTCTCCCTTCCAGAGCCCCCAGAACCTGAAATCCAAGTCCCAGCCCATAAGGGTTCCGTGAACACGCTCATGTGCTTGTTCTTACTAGACAAAGATGTGATTGCAAGAACAAGACCCCTGCCCTGGGAAACTCAACACTGGACATCTCAAGCTCTTCCTACTCCTGAACATGCCATGGAACCACAACTGGTGATGGAGCCAAAAGCCGTGAACAGTGGGACATTTGAAACCCCTCAGCAAGCATGCTTGCTAACATGATTTCCAGGGAAGTGTTATTGATGAGTGTGGTTCATCTTATATACTTACATGAAATAATAGTAGACATGGCACCCCACTGGCATTCCAAGGCCTCCTATGGAGGGAGAGAAGCGGGGGAGGTGGGAGCTCACAGGATTAGCCTGGAGATGGTGAAGAGATCTCAAGGCAGAGAACCCAGCTGGCCCATCTGGGGCCTTCTGACTCCATGACGGGGTCCTCCAGATGCCTTGAGGTCAGGGCCAAACCCGATGGGCAGCCTGGTGTGGGAGGACCAAGCTCAGCCATAACATCTGGGTCACATATGCTCCAGTCCCTCTCTACCTTCTCATCTCTCTGCTATGTCTCTGTCCCCTAAATGGCTCAATTCCCAAAGTAGGGTGAGACTACTAACTGAGCCATATGCGGGTGGGTAGAAGGGTGGGAAGTCTGGAAGGAGGGCAGGAATAAAGATTACCAGCAGTGTCTTTGGCTGATGGGAGTGCCTGATAACACTAACCACCCCCCGCCCATTTTTGGTACCTGCTTTGTATTTTTCCAACTTGTCAGAGCTGTGAGTCACCCTCTGCATGGAGGGATTCCCACGCTTAGGTGCCAGTTGGTTGGCAGATGCCAAAACAAATCAAAGACCCAGTCGTGAAGCTTGGCTAGGTTTGAACAAGGTGCTGGGGCGGTGTTCTAGGTGAGGCATTGTTACTTCTTGGAAAATGAACTGTCTTCAGAGCAGCAAGTCCCTCTGCTAGGCATTTATTTATCCCCTGCCACTCTGCAAAAATGATTCCAGTTCAAAGAGATTGCAACAAAAGGATTGTGTGTAAGGTTAATTAAAGAAAAAAGAAGAAGAAACCAGGAGAACCAAGGAAATAAGAAGAGAATGAAAATGAGCAGTATATCTTCTGTGAATGTGCACCAGATGAAGCTATAAGCTCCCTGCTGGCCAAGGCAAAAAAGGAAGCATGATCACTTTATGGAGCTCTTGACATAACTAACATTTGTTGATTACAATTCCAAAATTTTTATTTTTATTTTATTTTATTTTTTGAGATGGAGTCTTGCTCTGCCGCCCAGGCTGGAGTGCAGTGGCACAATCTCGGTTCACTGCAACCTCCGCCTCCCAGGTTCAAGCGATTCTCCTGCCTCAGCCTCCTGAGTAGCTGGGACTACAGGCATGCACTACCACACCCGGCTAATTTTTTTGTGTGTGTTTTTAGTAGAGACGGAGTTTTGCCACGTTGGCCAGGCTGGCCTCAAACTCCTGACCTCAGGTGATCCACCGGCCTCAGCCTCCCAAAGTGCTGGGATTACAGAATTTTTTTTCCAGAATTTTTAACATACATTATCTCATTTATCATTTATCTCATTTCCTTCCCAGTACCATGCCAATAAGCCATTGTTATTCCCATTTTATGGTTAGGAAAGTGAATCTCAGATGTTGCAGTGGATACTGGGGTTGTAATTCACCAAGATGTCCTCTCTAGGGCCAACACGCTCATCAGCTTCTGGAAGTATTGGCTGCTAACAGTTCACAGGAGCATTGTTCCCTGGGAATTGCCTTTGGCTGCAGGGAATGACTTTATCCAAAGTTATACCATCTTTAAGGGGAGCTTCCTATCCCTGCAACACAAAGCTCTGCAGATCTAGAGCTCCGAGAGGGGGAATATTTCCATTGGGGACACAGTAGAAGTTCCTTTGAATTTTACACTATGACTGCTTCTTGATTCTTTTGAATGTATTGAGCTAAGAGACCATCAGCAAGGAAAGGAATCACCATAATGTTGGCGATAATTACCCCGGTCATCAGTAGGAGGTAGGGTATGTGGCTAAATAATAGGAACAGAGATGAATATGAGTCATGCTCAGGCGATGCACTGGGGGGTCTTCTGGTGCTACTGTGCCTGGCTTTATTGGTACATGGACAAGTAAAGCAGCCATGGCTTAAGCAGGGCACAGTAACCTGGGGCTTGGACCCTTCAGGGTTGAGGATCTGGATCTCCACCAGACAAACTGCCCAAATCGGAAGAAATGCTAGCAAGTCCGGGTGCTGTGGCTAACGCCTGTAATCCCAGCACTTTGGGAGGCCGAGGAGGGTGGATCATGAGGTCAGGAGTTCAAGAACAGCCTGGCCAACATGGTGAAACCCCGCCTCTACTAAAAATACAAAAAAAATAGCCAGGCTTGGTGGCAGGCACCTGTAGTCCCAGCTACTCAGGAGGCTGAGGCAGGAGAATGGCGTGAACCCAGGAGGCGGAGCTTGCAGTGAGCTGAGATGGCGCCACTGCACTCCAACCTGGGTAACAGAGTGAGACTCTGTCTAAAAAAAAAAAAAAAAAAATTTGCCAGGCATGATGGTGGGCACCTATAATCCCAGGTACTTGGGAGGCTGAGGCAGGAGAACAACTTGAACCTCAGAGGTAGAGGTTCCAGTCAGCTGAGGTCACACCACTGCACCCCAGCCTGGGTGATAACAGCGAGACTCTGTCTCAAAAAAATAAAAAATAAAAAAAAAATAAGAAATGCTAGCAAAAGGTAAGGGGAATCTAGGACAGGTAGTAGAAGAGTGTGATAACAAGTATCTATTACAGTCTTGAGATCAACTTCTGCAACTAATTCTACAGTTCATCTCACTAACCCTTCTTTTTTGAGTTTCACAGGAAACAAACCCAACCAGAAACCTAGAGAAGCCATTCCCAAATGGGTCAAACTTCACAGAAGCAAATGGAAAGGAGCAGTGCAAGGGTTGGACTGTAGTGGCTACTCTGATTCTCTGCCTAGATCCCCTTCTGGCTGAGCCACCCATCCTAAGCTGCTTGGAATATTGGCTGTGGTTGAACGCCAACTGTATCTCTCACAAGGAATTTCCTCAGCTGCAGAGATCCTTACTCAAGGTTATGCCCCCTCCCAGCGGGTGGCTCATGGCCCATGCCTGGCTAATGTGGAGGTGCAATGGCCAGCTGGCTGCCCTTGCTTCAACTTAGCCTTTTTTTTTTTTTTTGAGACCGAGTCTCACTCTGTCACCCAGGCTGGAGTGCAGTGGCTTGATCTCAGCTCACTACAGCCTCCACCTCCCAGGTTCAAGTGATCCTCCTGTCTCAGCCACCAGAGTAGCTGAGAATACAGGCATGTGCCACCACACCTGGCTAATTTTTGTACTTTTGGTAGAGATAGAGTTTCACCATGTTGGCTAGGCTGGTCTTGAACTCCTGGCCTCAAGTGATCCTCCCACCTCAGCCTCCCAAAGTACTGGGATTACAGATGTGAGCCACCGTGTCGGCCCCTGCAGCTTTTTTTCTTTTTTTTTTTTGAGACAAAGTCTCACTTTGCAGCCCAGGCTGGTGTGCAGTGGCACAATCACAGCTCACTGCAACCTCCACCTCCTGGACTCAGGTGATCTTCCCACCTCAGCTTCCCGAGTAGGTAGGACTGCAGGTGCATGCCACCACCCCCAGCTAATTTTTCCGTTTTTAGTAGAGATGGGGTTTCATCATGTTGCCCAAGATGGTCTTGAGCTCCTGGGCTCAAACGATGCCCCCGCCTCGGCCTCCCAAAGTGCTGGGATTACAGGCATAGGCCACTACAGCCAGCCTACTTAGGACACATCTGAAGGGCCATCTCAGCTCTAGGGCATTCTGTGGGATCAGCTGAGGCCTTAATGACAGCCATTGAAGGTCGATTTCTGCCTCTGCCCAGTCCTGCCTTCTTACCTGCCTTCCAGGCACATCTTCTAAGAGCACTTCCCCAAAAACTTTGAGCCACAACTCTCTGAATGAGGGTTGGTTTCCAGGGAACCCAATCTAAAGCAGACATGTCAGTAAGATTGTTCAAGGTAGCAGCCCAGACATACACCTTCCCCACTGTGTCATGGAAGTCATTTCTGAGTCAACATGTCTTCTTGTATTAAGCTATAAAGTCTTAATGTAGTTTTTTTTCTCAACATTTACGAGCACTGTGATTTAATTTAGCATTTTCTAAATAGTCAAAAGGTTTAAAATGTGTATATATATACACTTTTTTTTTTAACTGAGTCTCGCTCTGTCGCCCAGGCTGGAGTGCAGTGGCGTGATCTCAGCTCACTGTAACCTCCGCCTCCCGAGTTCAAGCGATTCTCTTACCTCAGCCTCCCGAGTAGCTGGGACTACAGGCACGTGCCACCATGCCTGGCTAATTTTTTATGTTTAGTAGAGACAGGGTTTCACCATGTTGGCCAGGCTGGTCTGGAACTCCTGACCTCAGGTGATCCGCCTGTCTTGGCCTCCCAAAGTGCTGGGATTATAGGCATGAGCCACTGCGCCCGGCCAGAAATGTGTATATTTTTATAAGAGAAATTGCTTTTATTCCAGGTACTATTGTTGCATAACCACCACCCTGAACGTAGTGGTGTAAACAACAGCCGCTTGACTGTGCTCAGGGATTCTTTGGACCTTGGACGGGGCACAGCAGGGATGTTTATTCTCTGCTGCACAGTGTCTGGGGCCTCAACTGGGAAGACTACAAGAGTTCAGAGAAAGAATCTTCTGGAAGCTTCTTCTCTCACATGTCTGATGCCTGAATTCGGATGAGTTGAAAGTTGGGCTCAGGTGGGATTATGGCCTCTCCTTGTGGCTTGGGCAATTCACTGCATGTCAGCTGGGTTTCAAAAAGGAGAGTCCTGGCCCGGTGCGGTGGCTCACGCCTGTAATTCCAGCACTTTGGGAGGCCAAGGCGGGTGGATCACCTGAGGTCAGGAGTTCGAGGCCAGCCTGGCAAACATGGTGAAACCCCGTCTCTATTAAAAATACAAAAAAATTAGCTGGGCGTGGTGGCGGGCACCTGTAATCTCAGCTACTCAGGAGGCTGAGACAGGAGAATCACTTGAACCTGGGAGGCAGAGGTTGCAGTGAGGTGAGATTGCGCCACTGCACTCCAGCCTGAGCAACAGAGCGAGACTCTGTCTCAAAAAAAAAAAAAAAAAAAAAGAGTCCTGAGTCCTGAGAGGGAATATTCTAGGAAACCAAAGTGGAAGCTGCATGAACTTTTATGACCTGGCCTCAGAAGTCATGCCTTGTCACTTCTACTGTACTCTAGTGGTCCCAGCAGCACAGCTTCACCAGATTTCAGGGTTTCGAAAAAGGGGATGTAGACCACATCTCTTGATGGGAGGCACAGCAAATAATTTTCAGTCATCTGGTTTTGAATTTTTTTCATTAAGTTTTTTTTTTTTTAGACAGGGTTTCACTCTGTCACCCAGCCTGGAGTGCAGTGGTGTGATCTCAGCTCACTGCAGCCTAAACCTCCCAGGGTCAAGTGATCCTCCCACCTCAGCCTCCTAAGTAGCTGGACTACAGGTGTGTGCCACCATGCCTGGCTAATTTTTATTTTTATTTTTTATTTTACTTTATTTTATTTTTGAGATGAAGTGTCACTCTACCTCCCAGGCTGGAGTGCAGTGGCGTAATTTCCGCTCACTGCAACCTCTGCCTCCCGGGTTCAAGCAGTTCTCCTTCCTCAGCCTCCTGAGTAGCTGGAATTACAGGCGCGCACCATCATGCCTGGTTAATTTTTGTATTTTTAATAGAGACGGGTTTTCCCCATGTTAGTCAGGTTGGTCTTGAACTCCTGACCTCGTGATCCGCCCGCCTTGGCCTCCCAAAGTGCTGGGATTACAGGCGTGAGCCACCGTGCCCGGCCAACCTGGCTAACTTTTAAAATATATTTTATTTTTAATTTATAAATAAAATTAAAATGTATAAATAAATAGAGACAGGGTTTCACCATGTTGGCCAGGCTGGTCTCAAACTTCTGCCCTCAAGTGATCTGCCTGCCTTGGCCTACCCAAAGTGCTGAGATTACAGACGTGAGCCACCTCTCCTGGCCTAATTTTTTAGATTTTTTTGTAGAGATGGGGTCTTACTATGTTGCCCGGGCTGGTCTCAAAATCCTGGGCTCAAGCAATCCTCCCAACTCGATCTCCCAAAGTGCTGGAATTTCCAGCGTGAGCCACTGCGCCTAGCCCCTATCTGATTTTTTTAAGCCACATACCACTCTTAGGGATTTATCATAGGTAAGTAACACAAGTGTCTAAGATCTATGTAAAAGGAAGTTTACCACAACATTGTTTATAATGCTAAAACATTGTTTATAGTATTGTAAATTTATAAATTAGTATATAAACATTGTTAGTATATACCACAACATTGTTTATAATGCTAAAAAAAAAAAAAAGAGACAATCTAAATGACCAATCACCAGTAAGGGTTGAATAATTTGTAGCACAGTGTGTCAATGCCATGAAACACTATGTAGCTATTAAAATGACACAATATGATGGAAAGATATTTTTATGATATATTGTTAAATAGAAAAAACTGGTTACAGACAGAATGTATGGTAAGATACATTTTGATTTAAAGAATAAAGTTTTTGGCTGGGGCGGTGGCTCATGTCTGTAATCCCAGCACTTTGGGAGGTTGAGGGGAGTGGATAACCTGAGGTCAGGAGTTCAAGACTAGCTTGGCCAACATGGCAAAACCCAATCTCTACTAAAAATACAAAAAAATTAGCCGGGCGTGGTGGCAGGTGTCTGTAATCCCAGCTACTCAGGAGGCTGAGCCACGAGAATTGCTTGAACCCAGGAGGCAGAGGTTGCAGTGAGCCGAGATCTCGCCACTGCACTCCAGCCTGGGGGACAGAATGAGACTCCATCTCAAAAATTTAAAAAAGATAATAATAAATAAAGTTTTTTGTTTTTGTCTGTTTTTATTTTAAATTATATAGAGATAGAGTCTTGCTATATTGCCCAGGCTGGCCTTGAACCCCAAGCCTCAAGGAATCCTTGAACTTCAGCCTCCCAAAGTGTTGGGATTATAGGTTTGAGACACCGCACCTGGCCTAAAGTTGCTGTTGTTATTGTTGTTTTGTTTTTTGAGACAGGGTCTTGTTCTATCGGCCAGGCTGGAGTACAGTGGCATGATCACAGGTCACTGTAGCCTTTACCTATGGGCTTAAGTGATCATCCCACCTTAGCCTCCCAAGTAGCTGGGACTACAGGCATGTGCCACCACACCCTGCTAATTTTGTTTTTTAATTTTTTTTGTAGAGATGAGTTTTTACCATGTTGCCCAGGCTAGTCTTGACCTCCTGGGCTCAAGCAATCCACCTGCCTCGGCCTCCCAGAGTGCTGGGATTACAGGTGTGTGAGACACTGAGCCCAGCCTATTTTTTAATTACAGAAATATTCAACAAGTAAACTGTTTCTCCTGTGTACCAGCCTTGAGCTAGGCACCGGGGATACAGAGTCAATAAGAACCAGCTTCTTATATAAGAAGAACCAGCACAGAGCTTACAGTCTAGTGGGACAGACAGACACATCAGAAGGGGGATGTTGTCTTTTGATGACTATTCAGAGGAGATAACACTTGAGTTTGAAAAAAAATAGCCAAATAAAAACGGCAGGTGGCCAGATGTGGTGGCTCACACCTGTAATCCCAGCACTTTGGGAGGCCAAGGCAGGCAGATCACCTGAGGTCAAGAGTTCAAGACCAGGCTGGCCAACATGGTGAAATCCCGTCTCTACTTTAAATACAAAAATTGGCCAGGCGCGGTGGCTCACACCTATAATCCCAGCACTTTAGGAGGCCGAGGCAGGTGGATCACGAGGTCAGGAGATCGAGACCATCCTGGCTAACATGGTGAAACCCCGTCTCTAGTAAAAAAATACAAAATATTAGCTGGGCATGGTGACAGGTGCCTGTAGTCCCAGCTACTTGGGAGGCTGAGGCAGGAGAATGGCATGAACCTGGGAGGCGGAGCTTGCAGTGAGCTGACATTGCACCACTGCACTCCTGCCTGGGCAACAGAGCGAGACTCCGTCTCAACAACAAAAAAAGAAAAAAAAAAAAATTAGCCAGACGTGGTGGCAGGCACCTGTAATCCCAGCTAGTCGGGAGGCTGAGGCAGGAGAATTGCATGAATTTGGGAGGCGGGGGTTGCAGTGAGCTGAGATCGCGCCGTTGCACTCCAGCCTGGGCAACAAGAGCAAAACTATGTCTCAAAAAAAAGAAAAAGAAAAAGAAAAAGGCAGTTGTTGGAGTCGTGGATGGAGGTTGACCCCCCCAGATCCTTTCCACTGATTTTAATCTCACTTCCGTTGCTGGTGATTAGTTTAAGGACAGGCATGTGACCATCCTGGCCGACGTGAGGTGAGGGGAGGTCTGCTAAGGGGCTTCTGAGAAGTGTTTCTGAGCAGCTAATACAGAGACGCCAGACGTGGCCCATTTTTCTTCCTGTGGCTGTTGTCATGTCTGGGTGTGAAGTTTGAATTTGCTGCTGTATTCTTCCAACCCAGAGAGGATCCAACTTTAGAATGAATCTGACCCCACAGATAGCAGAGAAGAGACAGAAAGAGCTGGCTTCTCAACATTTCTGAGCTGCTGATTGTATAGGGCCTGGGGCCCATCTTGCGAGATAACGTGTTTCCTGATGGTTTAAACCAGTTTGAATCAGGATGTTCTGTTATTTGCAGTTGAAGGCATACTCACTATTGCAGAAGAGCATTCCAGGCACCAGGAATAGATAAAAGAGAATGGCCTGTAGCTCAGTGTGGCTGCTCGGGAAGCTGCATGAGGAGGGAGGAATGGCTAATGGAGAGGCCCGTAGGGCCAGGTCATGAGAAGATTATGCCATTTAAAGTGCCAAGACTTTATCTTGAGAGCAATGGGGAGCTGATCAGGAGTTTTAAGCAGCAAAATGATTTTTTTTCTTTCTTTTTTTTTTTTTGAGACAGGATCTCCCTCTGTTGCCCAGGCTGGAGCATGGTGGCACGATCACAGCTCACTGAAGCCTTGACCTCCCAGGCTCAGGTGATCCTCCCATCTCAGCCTCCCAAGTAGCTGGAACTACAGGCACATGCCACCACGCCCAGGTAATTTGTGTGTTTGTGTGTGTGTGTGTGTGTGTGTATGTGTGTATATATATATACATTTTTATTTTTATTTTTTTATTTTTTGGAGAGACTGGGTTTTGACATGTTGCCCAAGCTGGTCCCGAAGTCCTGAGCTTAAACGATCTGCCCACTTCAGCCTCTTAAAGTGCTGGGATTACAGGCGTGAGCCACCACACCCAGCCAGCAGTGATTTGTTCAAATCTGTCTCTTAGGAAAATCACTCTAGTAGCTAGGAACAATTTGAGAGAGACAGAAAGGGAGCGAGTGAGTGCAGGAGGACCAGTTAGAAGACTGATGCACTCAGGGAGGGATACTGGGCAGTGGCCATGAGATGGAGAGCAGACGAGTCTGGAAGGAGGAAGGAGGTGGGGTCGCCAAGCTGGGGTCCACTGGCTCCCATGGAAATGAGGGGAGATGAGGGCCTCATCAGGCTTGGGCATCTGGGAGGACAGTGTGCCATGTACCAAGGAAGGAATGCCAGAGAAGGTCTGAGTGGGAAACACCTTGGGTTAGGCGTGGGGTGTGTGAGATGCCCCAGCACCTCCTGAGTGTGGAGAAACCCCAGTGAAGGGGATCTGTTGCACTTCTGATAACCATGTTGATTGGCTTGGGGACCTATCTCTCCACCCCGGGATAGAGTCTTGTGGGAACTTCCATCAGTCTGGCCAAAGGCTAGCCCCTGATCTGGGCCTGGCCAATTACAGGCTTACCCTTGGAATTGGAATCATAGCCTGTCTCACAAGGTAGTCAGTTCATCCCCAAACTGGAGTTTAGTCTTGTTTTTTTGAGACGGAGTCTCGCTCTGTCGCCCAGGCTGGAGCGCAGTGGCTCGATCTCAGCTCACTGCAACCTCTGCCTCCTGGGTTCAAGCAATTCTCCTGCTTCAGCCTCCCAAGTAGCTGGGACTACAGGCGCCTGCCACCATGCCCAGCTAATTTTTTGTATTTTAGTAGAGACGGGGTTTCACCGTGTTGCCCAGGCTGATCGCAAACTTCTGAGCTCAGGCAATCCACCTGCCTTGGCCTCCCAAAGTGCTGGGATTACAGTCATGAGCCACCGTGCCCAGCCGGGATTTCATCTTAGTCTGGACTCCCCCGAACTTAGAGCCTGAGCAAGGACTTGGGTGCAGGATGTGCATTTGGGAAAGGATTCCAGGGAGCAGGAGGGAGAAACAAGGAAGAGAGAAACAGGGAAGAGAACTCTAGCACAAGGATGATCAAGGCAGCCGCTCCAACCCACTGGAACCTTCGAAGGAGTAGAGCATGGGTCTCAGAACAGTCTTGCAGAGGGGTGGGGAAAGGGAGAAGCATGTGTGCCTTGGCTCCTGTCCCCACTGGATAAGGGTGCACTTCTCTGGGATCTACTTCTCTGGGATGCCCAGCAGGTTCCCAAAGGAACCTTAGGTGGCTGTTAGGAGAAGCTTGGGGCAGAGGCTGCAGAACACCGCATTTCAAGATGAAGCACTGTCCATGCATATGGGACAAACCCGTGCAGAGAAGACCACAGTGGTAGTAGAGGGGAGCGCGAGAGGACGTGAGCACAAGAGATGTTTGATATGGGCCTTTTTTTTTTCTTTTTTTGAGACAGTCTTACTCTGTTGCCCAGGCTGGAGTTCAGTGGTGCAATCTTGGCTCACTGCAACCTCCACCTCCCAGGTTCAAGCAATTCTCATGCCTCAGCCTCCTGGGTAGCTGGGATTACAGTTGTGTGTCACCACAACTAGCTAATTTTTTAAATTATTATTATTATTTTTTGAGACGGAGTCTTGCTCTGTCACCCAGGCTCGAGTGCAGTGGCATGATCTCGGCTCACTGCAAGCTCCACCTCCTGGGTTCAAGCCATTCTCCTGCCTCAGCCTCCTGAGTAGCAGGGACTACAGGCACCCGCCACCATGCCCGGCTAATTTTTTTGTATTTTTTATAGAGACGGGGTTTCACCATGTTGGCCAGGCTGGTCTCAAACTCCTGACCTCAGATGATCGCCTGCCTTGGCCTCCCAAAGTGCTGGGATTACAGGCGTGAGCCACCGTGCCTGGCCTTGATATGGGCCTTTAAAAGGCCATCTGCTTGGCCAGATGCGGTGGCTCACGCCTATAATCCCAGCACTTTGGGAGGCCGAGGCAGGTGGATCACCTGAGGTCAGGAGTTCAGGACCAGCCTGGCCAATATGGTGAAACCCATTTCTACTAAAAAAAAAAATACAAAAATTAGCCAAGCTTGATGGCAGGCACCTGTAATCCCAGCTACTCAGGAGGCTGAGGTGGGAGAATCGCTTGAACCCGGGAAGTGGAGGTTGCAGTGAGCCATGATCACGCCATTGAACTCCAGCCTGGGCAACAAGAGCGAAACTCTGTCTCAAAGTAAAGTAAAATAAAATAAAATAAAATTTAAAAAAATAATAAATAAAGGCTGTCTGCCAGTTCCTGCTGCTTGGATCTCCAGAACTATCCCACAGCGTCCTCTCCAAGGATACATGGTTCAGCATTTTCCTCGGTTCCACAAGCTACATCATAGCCCT
This sequence comes from Homo sapiens, assembly GCF_000001405.40. NCBI lineage: Eukaryota > Metazoa > Chordata > Mammalia > Primates > Hominidae > Homo > Homo sapiens. Next base: position 54,432,275 of record NC_000001.11, read on the forward strand.
CACAGGGATTCCTTTTGGGCCCACATTAGCCATAGTCAGTTTGTGTTGCTTAAGAACAGAAACCCTCAGCCGGATGCAGTGGCTCATGCCTGTAATCCCAGCACTTTGAGAGGCCGAGGCAGCCAGATCACCTGAGGTCAGGAGTTCGAGACCAGCCTGGCCAACATGGTGAAACCCCATCTCTACTAAAAATATAAAAAGTAGCTGGGCATGGTGGTGCATCCCTGTAATCCCAGCTACTCAGTAGGCTGAGGCAAGAAAATCACTTGAACCCAGGAGACGGAGGTTGCAGTAAGCCGAGATTGCGCCACTGCTCTCCAGCATGGGCAACAGAGCGAGACTCGGTCTCAAAAAAAAAAAAAAAAAAAAGAACAGGCCAGGCGCGGTGGCTCACGCCTGTAATCCCAGCACTTTGGGAGGCCGAGGGGGGTGGGGGTGGATCACAAGGTCAGGAGTTCAAGACCATCCAGGACAACTTGGCGAAACCCCGTCTCTACTAAACATACAAAAATTAGCTGGGCGTGGTGGCGCACACCTGTAATCCCAGCTACTCAGGAGGCTGAGGCAGGAGAATTGTGTGAACCTGGGAGGCAGAGGTTGCAGTGAGCCAAGACTGGGCCATTGCACTCCAGCCTGGGTGACAGAGTGAGACTCCATCTCAAAAAAAAAAAAAAAAAGAACAAAAATCCTAATGGATGCAGTGTATGACATCACAGAGAATGAACTCAAAAACTGTTATAAAGCAAATAACAAAACATTTTCCTGTGGTATTTCTTGATAGGTTGGCTGTTTAGTAAAACTGGAGGGCCGAGGCATGTTTGTGGGGGTGTGGCTTTCCATTGTCCTCCCCAGATCTAAGAGAGCACTTGGAAGCTTCAAGCGAGGTGCCCACGTACTCTTGCCTTTATCTTCCATGCTCCTGTCTGACAACAGCAAAGACATACCTGTATTCTTATCAAAAGTGCTGAACTAAAAGTGGATCTCAAAGGTATAGTATCTAAGAATGGGTCTGCTTAGAACAAGGTCTGCTCTTAGCCCTGGGGGTGGGGGAAAGCTTCATGAGTTTATGGGCACAGATGGAATCACAGTGTGAAACATGAGCGTCTGTGTGTGTGTGCCAATGTGTGTACATGGGAGTGCATGTGGTGTGCATGCATACATAGCCAGCTTTCCTCCGTAGAGACAGTGCCCACAGTCACTTGTCGGGTATCCGTTTTAGGGAACCATGATGAAAAGGCAAGGAGAGGAGACGGCTTGGCAAGTAAAGACAAATCAGTGGAATGGAGACATGCCAGCCAAGTGGTATGCTCATTTTTTCATTCCATAAACATTAACTAAGTTTAGAGATTAAATATCTGAGCCCTCAAGGAGCTCCAAGTCTAACAAAGCTGACAGGCACAAATATACAGTTTAATGGGAAATTATAAGAACTAAGATAAGGGGGTGGGGCGCGGTGGCTCACGCCTGTAATCCCAGCACTTTGGGAGGCTGAGGGGGCGGATCACGAGGTCAGGAGATTGAGACCATCCTGGCTAACACAGTGAAACCCCATCTCTACTAAAAATACAAAAAATTTGCTGGGTGCGGTGGCTCACGCCTGTAATCCCAGCACTTTGGGAGGCCGAGGCAGGTGGATCACGAGGTCAGGAGATCAAGACCATCCTGGCTAACATGGTGAAACCCTGTCTCTACTAAAAATACAAAAAAAATTAGCCGGGTGTGGTGGCAGGCGCCTGTAGTCCCAGCTACTCGGGAGGCTGAGGCAGGAGAATGGCGTGAACTGGAGAGGTGGAGCTTGCAGTGAGCTGAGATGGCACCACTGCACTCCAGCCTGGGCAACTGAGCAAGACTCCGTCTCAAAAAAAAAAAAAAAAAAATTAGCCAGGCGTGGTGATGGGCACTTGTAGTCCCAGCTATTTGGGAGGCTGAGGCAGGAGAATGGTGTGAACCCGGGAGGTGGAGCTTGCAGTGAGCTGAGATCACGCCACTGCACTCCAGCCTGGGCAACAAAGTGAGACTCCATCTCAAAAAAAAAAAAAAAAAAGAACTAAGATAGAGGAGGCCAGGCACTGTGGCTCACTCCTGTAATCCCAGCACTTCGGGAGGCTGAGGCGGGCTGATCACTTGAGCTCAGTAGTTCAAGACCAGCCTGGCCAACATGGTGAAACCCTGTCTCTACCAAAAATACAAAAGCTTAGCCAGGCATGGTGGTGTGTGTCTGTGGTCCCAGCTACTTGGGAGGGTAAGGTGGGAGGCTTGCTTGAGCCTGATAGGTGGAGGTTGCAGTGAGCCGAGATCGTGCCATTGCACTCCAGCCTGGGCCACAAGAGCGAAACTCCGTCTCAAAATAATAATAATAACAACAACAACAATAATAAAAGAACTGAGATAGAGGGACATGCAATGTGGCACAAGGGAACAAATGAGTATTTTATTTCAGAAAATCTGGAATGATGACCCAGAGGGGGAAGGGGTTGAGTGAGTCTTAAAGGATGAAGAGGAATTGCCAGGCAGATGATGGCGGACTAGGAAATGGTAGATGAGGAGTCAGCAAAGTAAAATCACAGAGGTGTGAAACAACAGGGAGCATTAGGGGACGTGGTGAAAAGTTATGGTGGGGAGGTAGCTAGAGAGTTTGGCTTTGGCCCAACGGATAACCCCAACAGTTTAGAGTTTACAGTTTCTGATGATTTGCTTCAATTATTTTCTACATATCTCCAAACACATTTATGTATATATATTTTTCTTTCTTTCCTTTTTTTTGACACAGGGTCTCTGTCACACAGGCTGGAGTGCATTGGCTGGATCATGGCTCACTGCAACCTTGACCTTCCTAGGCTTAGGGGATCCTCCCACCTCAGCCTCCCAGGTAGCTGGGGCTATAGGTGTACACCACCACACCTGGCACATTTTTGTATTTTTTAGTAGAATCTGGGTTTTGCTATGTTGTCCATGCTGGTCTCCAACTCCTGGGCTGAAGCAATCCACTCACCTCAGCCTCCCAAAGTTTTGGGATTCTAGGTGTGAGCCACTGTGTCCAGCCTATTCTTTTTATTTATTTATTTATTTTATTATTATTATTATTATTTTTTTTTTGAGACAGAGTCTCACTCTGTCACCCAAGCTGGAGTGCAGTGGCATGATCTCGGCTCACTGCAACCTCCATCTCCCGGCTTCAAGCGATTCTCCTGCCCCAGCCTCCCGAGTAGCTGGGACTACAGGCATGCACCACCACATCTAGCTAATTTTGTATTTTCAGTAGAGATGGGGTTTCACCATGTTGGCCAAGCTGGTCTGAAACTCCTCACCTCAGGTGATCCGCCCGCCTCAGCCTCCCAAAGTGCTGGGATTACAGGCGTGAGCCACCATGCCAGGCCCCTATTCTTTTTATTTCTAACAAATGAATTCATCTTATATTTACTGTTCTGTAACTTGTTTTTTTCACCTAAATAGATCCTATATGAACATCTTTTCATGTTACATTTAGAGATGTCTAAATCTTTTTTTTTTTTTTTTTTTTTTTTTTGAGACAGTCTCACTCTGTCTCACTCAGGCTGGAGTGCAGTGGTGTGATCTTGGCTCACTGCAACCTCTGCCTCCCAAGTTCAAGTGATTCTCCTGCCTCACCTTCCAAAATAGCTAGGATTATAGGTGGGCACCACCACACTTGGCTAATTTTTTTATTTTTTAGTAGAGATGGGGTTTTGCCATGTGGACCAGGCTGGTGTCGAACTCCTGACCTCAAGTGATCCACCCTCCTCAGCCTCCCAAAGTGCTGGGATTACAGGTGTGAGCCACCATGCCCAACCCATCTCATTTTTTTTTAATAACTTCATAGTATCTTGTAGTATAGGTGAACAAATTACCTTCAAAATTTATACAGCAATAAGAATGTTCCATTGAGCCTACTCCCTTGTCAACATTCAAGCCATCTTTTTTTTCTTTTCTTTTTTTTTTTTTTGAGATGGGAGTCTCGCTCTGTCACCAGGCTGGAGTGCAGTGGTGTGATCTTGGCTCACTGCAACCTCCACCTCCTGGGTTCAAGCGATTCTCCTACCTCAGCCTCCCGAGTAGCTGGGACTATAGGCATGCGCCATCACGCCCAGCTAATTTTTGTATTTTTAGTAGAAATGGGGTTTCACCATGTTGGCCAGGATGGTCTCGATCTCCTGTCCTTGTGATCTGCCCGCCTTGGCATCCCAAAGTGCTGGGATTACAGGCATGAGCCACCAAGCCCGGCGGCAATCTTTTTTTTTTTTATTTTTATTTTTTGAGAGGGAATTTCACTCCTCTTGCCCAGGTTGGAGTGCAATGGTGCAATCTGGGCTCACCGCAACCTCTGCCTTCTGGGTTCCAGCCATTCTCCTGCCTCAGCCTCCCGAGTAGCTGGGATTACAGGCATACACCACCATGCCCAGCTAATTTTGTGTTTTTAGTAGAGACGGGATTTCACCATGTTGGCCAGGTTGGTCTCGAACTCCTGACCTCGTGATCTGCCCGCCTCGGCCTCCCAAAGTGCTGGGATTACAGGTGTGAGCCACCGCACCCGGCCGCAACTTGCTGTCTTTATTGCCCCTGGATTCTCAATTACTTCTTCCATTTGCTTAATCATGTTTAGACTTTCTTCCATTCCCAACTTATGACTGAGTTTTATAATAAGGACCTATGACCAAATTGCAAGCAATAAAGTCAAAAGTAACAGGAAATTCTGGAGTCTGCTGTCCTGTCCACATCTGAGACCTAGATAAGGTGGGTCATTAGTGACCAGTGCTGGTGAGGCTGCGGTAGCCTGGGTACCCTCATGGATGTCATTGAGACAGTTCCTGGCACCAGCCCTTCTAAAGGGCAGGGTGGCGACCTATGTCAGGAGCTTCATTTTGTTTGCCCAGGAAATAGGCTTCTGGGAATGAACCCGAACAAATACCCAGAGATACGAATATTCACTTACTAGAGAGTTTATCACAACAAAATTTAAAAGACACATTGAAGGCTAGGCGTGGTGACTCACACCTGTAATCTCAGCACTCTGGGAGGCCGAGGCAGGCAGATCACTTAAGGTCAGGAGTTTGAGACCAGCCTGGCCAATATGGTGAAACCCCGTCTCTGCTAAAAATACAAAAATTAGCCGGGCATGATGGGCTCTTCTAATCCCAGCTACTCAGGAGGCTGAGGCAGGAGAATCGCTTGAACCCAGGAGGCAGAGCCAAGATTGTGCCATTGCACTCTAGGCTGGCTACAGAGCGAGACTCTGTCTAAAAAAAAAAAAAAAAAAAAAGACACATCGAAACAGTTGTAATAGCAATAGGTCACAAATAGATAAATTAATAATGAATCAGTCATATAAGAGAATATTTTACAGCCACTGACAATCATGTTTTTTGTTTGTTTGTTTGTTTAAGACAGATTCTCACTCTGTTGCCCAGGCTGGAGTGCAGTGGCGTGATCTTGGCTCACTGCTACCTCCATCTGCCGGGTTCAAGTGATTTGCCTGCCTCAGCCTCCCTAGTAGGTGGGATTACAGGCGTGGCCACCACGCCCAGCTAACTTTTTTTGTATTTTTAGTAGAGATGGGGTTTCACCATGTTGGCCAGGCTGGTCTCAAACTCCTGATCTCAAATGATCTGCCTACCTCGGCCTCCCTTAGTTCTGGGATTACAGGAGTGAGCCACCACGCCCGGCCACCAATCATGTTTTAAAGAAATAATCAACGTCATCAAAAAATGTTTATGATATAATTTTAGGTGAAAACATAAGAATACAAATTACTTATATGAGACAATTTGTTTTTCAAATTATACATGTATGATGTGATTATACATCACTTAGTAGCTCTGAATTTGAGCAAGTCACTTTTTCTCTAAGTGTCAGTTTTCTCCTCTGTAAAATGAGACACTGATGGTCCTTACCTCAGAAAGTTGCTGTAAAGATTAAATAAAACTGAATAGGCTGGGTGTGGTGGATAACACTTGTAATCCCAGTACTTTGGGAGGCCAAGGCAGGAGGATCTCTTGAGGCCAGGAGTTTGAGACCAGCCTAGACAACATAGTAAGAGCCCATTTCTACAGAAAATAAAAAACAAGGTTGAATTTTAAAACATGAAAAGAAATTGAAGAAAGACCAAAAATAAATATCTTAAAATTCAAACCATGGTGGGGTTGTAGGTGCTTTTAATTTTCTTCTCTTTTTTTGAGACGGAGTTTCTCTCTGTCGCCCAGGCTGGAGTGCAATGGCGCAATCTTGGCTCACTGCAACCTGCGCCTCCTTGGTTCAAGTGATTCTCCTGTCTCAGCCTCCTGAGTAGCTGGGATTACAGGCCAGTGCCACCATGCCCGGCTAATTTTTTTTGTATTTTTAGTAGAGACGGGGTTTCACCATGTTGTTCAGGCTGGTCTCGAACTCCTGACCTCGTGATCTGCCCGCCTCAGCCTCCCAAAGTGCTGGGATTACAGGCGTGAGCCACCATGCCTGGCCTTAATTTTCTTCTTTACAATATTTTAGTATATTTCAAATTTTCTAAAATGACATAACAAGAAATAAATTTAGGTGAAAAATCAAATTGTTTCTATTGTTCTTTAAATAACAAGTTACATAGCTTGAATGTAAATGAATTTTTTTAAAAAACAGAAAATATATTCTAATGGTCAAAAAATGTAAAAGGCATGAAACTGTATGCATAGGGAGAAAGTGAGTCTACTACCCAGCTCTGTCTCACAAGCACCCACGGGCTCTCTGTGAAAGCCACTATTACTACTAAATTACTTTTTCCTAAGGTGGTCCTTGAAATAGAAAAAATTTTCCACACCTAGTGATTTAATCTGCACATGACAAATCTGGCTCAAACTGGTTTAAATAAGACAGCAAATTTTTTGGTTCATGTAACCGAAAAGCCTTGGTTTAGCACCAGCTACCAGTCCTGGCTAGGTCTGGGTTTCAAATGTCACTGTTAGAAACACATTTCTGGCCGGGTGCGGTGGCTCACGCCTGTAATCCCAGCACTTTGGGAGGCCAAGGCGGGTGGATCACTTGAGGTCAGGAGTTTGAGACCTGCCTGGCCAACACGGTGAGACCCCATCTCTACTAAAAATACAAAAATTTGCCTGGTGTGGTGGCACACGCCTATAATCCCAGCTACTCGGGAGGCTGAGACATGAGAATCACTTGGACCCAGGAGGCGGAGGTTGCAATGAGCCAAGATTGTGCCACTGCACTCCAGCCTGGGAGACAGAGGGAGACTCCATCTTAAAAAAAAAGAAAGAAAAGAAAAGAAACAGTTTCTAATTCGTCACTCTGCTTTCTGTGGTGTTGGCTTCATTCTCAGGCAGAGATCTCCAAGGATGGCCACTGATGGTTTCAGGCTTATGTCCTATCAGCTTGGTAACCCCCATGAAAACCTCCTTGGTAACCTCCTAGTAGCTTTGCCAAGAATCCCAGCTTTTCCTCTTTGACCAGACCTGGATCACGTGACCACCTCAGAACGAATCACTGTGTTCAATCACTGTGGATGCTCTGATCAGCCAAGCCAGCCTGAGTTCGGCCTCACTGGAGCCAACAGGAAGGCAGAGCCAGTTCCAGAAAGGAGAGTCAGGTTTAGTCCCCAAAGAAGAGGGAATCCATGCTGAACATGCAAAATCATGTTAGTGGCTGCCACCCTGCCCTAGTGCTCCTAGAGTATTCCATTTGCCACTCTACTTGCACTTACACTCTACTGTTCAGAGTCGGGGAGGTGGCACCCACGTCCTTGCCAGTGGCTTTGCACGGGTTTGGTGTGAACATCCCTGGGAGGCTGAGTGTTGCTAAACCCCTGCCCAGCTACTCACATGGACATCACTTCACACCAATGAGTGAGTTCCTTACTTTTCTGGTTTCAATGAATTAAGTAAGTGTTTCAAAAGGCACAAAAAATTTGCTGTGTATCATAAGAGGGAGAGAGGAGTGGCCTGGGTGGGGGTAGGAGGCTGTGGGGGAGTGCTAGTGTAAGAGAAAGGAAAAGATTAGCTCCTGCCTTAGGGCAGGAAGGAACCCAATTTATGAGGGCCAACTACATGCCAGACACTTCCACAAACTTACTTCATGTATTCCTCACACCCACCCAGGAGGGATGAGGCATTATTATCCCCATTTTTTAGATGCAGAAATGGAGGTTCAAGGAAGATAACACACTTTCCAAAGCCACTCAGGGAACCAGGTGCAGAAAAGGGATTCAAAGCCAGGTCTATTTTACTTTTCTTTCAGATCCATCTTGCTGGCTCAGGAATTCACAGATGACCCTAGGAGGTTCCAAATGGAACCCAAAATTCAATCTCCAGTTGTAGGCCTCTCTAAGTATTTCTTTCTATAGCAGATAGAGCCAACCAGGCAACAGTGCTGCTTAAACAATGCTAATAGTCCTACTTGCGGCCGGGTGCGGTGGCTCACGCCTGTAATCCCAGCACTTTGGGAGGCCGAGGCGGGTGGATCATGAGGTCAGGAGATCGAGACCATCCTGGCTAACAAGGTGAAACCCCGTCTCTACTAAAAATACAAAAAATTAGCCGGGCGCGGTGGCGGGCGCCTGTAGTCCCAGCTACTCGGGAGGCTGAGGCAGGAGAATGGCGTGAACCCGGGAAGCGGAGCTTGCAGTGAGCCGAGATTGCGCCACTGCAGTCTGCAGTCCGGCCTGGGCGACAGAGCGAGACTCCGTCTCAAAAAAAAAAAAAAAAAAAAAAAAATAGTCCTACTTGCTATATCTGGTCTGATATATTAGCAGCCCCTTCTCTCCCTTGTTCACTTTTGTTTGCCACCTACCACTCCTACACCTATATCCCTTCTTCTGTTCCTCACTTTCCCTGGAAGAACTGTTTCTGCCAAGACCAGGTAGAGAACTGACCCTCTTTATTTATTCACTTATTTGTGTATTCATTCAATATTCACTATATATATATTTTTTGAGACAGGGTCTCACTCTGTTGTCCAGGCTGGAGTGCAGTGGCATGATCATGGCGTGCTGCAGCCTCAACACTCTGGGCTCACCAATCCTCCTTCCTCAGCCTCCTGAGTAGCTGGGACTACAGGCACATACCACCACACCCTGCTAATTTTTAGAAAAAATTTTAGTAGAGATGAGGTCTTGCTATGCTGCCCAAGCTGGTCCTGAAATCCTGGCCTCAAGTGATCCTTGTGCCTCGGCCTCCCAAAGTACTGGGATTACGGGTGTGAACCACGGTGTCTGGCCTAAGCTTCCGTTGATGTCAGGTTGCAGAAAGAGTTCAGTGCGAAGTCCTGCCCACAAGGAGTTCATAATCTAATGGGGGACAGAGGGAGGCCAATCACAGCATGTTAGCATTTTGTGATTAGTGCTGTGAAGTCTCTGGGAGGACTTGGGTGGCACCTAACCCAGTCCAAGTGGAGTGGGATGGGGTGAGATCAGGGAAGGCTTCCTAGAAGAAGTGACACTGAGGATGCTTTCAACAACTGAGTTTTAGCTCACTAGATATGGAAAAAGGCATTCCAGTTTGAAGGAACAACATGTGGGACGGGCGCAGTGGCTCACACCTGTAATCCCAGGACTATGGGAGGTCGAGGCGGGCAGATCACCTGAGGTCGGGAGTTCGAGGCCAGCCTGACCAACATGGAGAAACCCCGTCTCTACTAAAAATTACAAAATTAGCCAGGTGTGGTGGCACATGCCTGTAATCTCAGCTACTTGGGAGGCTGAGGCAGAAGAATTGCTTGAACCTGAGAGGCCGAGGTTGCAGTGAGCCAAGATCATGCCACTGCACTCCAGCCTGGGTGACAGAGCAAGACTCCGTCTCAAAAATAAATAAATAAATACAAATGAAATAAATTACCTAGTCTCGGGCAGTTCTTTATAGCAATGTGAAAATGGGCTAATACAGGAGCAATTCTGAAAGAGCTTAGGCCTGGGATTTAGTGTGACAGGTTTCTGGTCCTTGTTTTGCCATAGTTGTGATGCGTGACCTTGAACAAAATGTTTCCCCTCACTAAGGTGTAGTCTCTGATGTATGGAATTTGAGGACTGGATCTCTGATCCTGCTTTCATGTGAGCCAGCTCTTCTGTCTGACCCAGGGCTTCCAATCACTGCCTGTGCCTCTGTCCCCCCAGGGGACATGGAGTTAAACCCAACCTGAATACTTTAACCACTTGACCCCTTGTTGACACAGCTGACTACTCCCTCCTTGGGATGTGGTTTCCTTAACTTCCTTGACACCTGGACTCCTTGATTTCCTTCATCTTTTCTGGTTGCTCTTTTTCCGTATTCCCTGGCTTCTTCTTTAGCCTACTTCTTTTTTTTTTTAAATTTTGTTTTATTATTATTGTTTTTTGAGACAGAGTCTTGCTCTTGTTGCCCAGGCTGGAGTTCGGTGGCGTGATCTCCACTCACTGCAACCTCCGCCTCCCAGATTCAAGTGATTCTCCTGCCTCAGCCTCCCGAGTAGCTGGGATTACAGGCGCCTGCCACCATGCCTGGCTAATTTTTGTATTTTTAGTAGAGACAGGGTTTCACCATTTTGGCCAGGCTGGTCTCGAGCTCCTGACCTTGTGATCCACCCGCCTCGGCCTCCCAAAGTGCTGGGATTGCAGGCATGAGCCACCGTGCCCGGCCTTCTTCAGCCATCTTCTTTTTTTTGTTGCCTTGCTGGTGAAGCTCACAGCTTTATTTTTCTTTCTTTTTATTATTATTATTATTATTATTATTATACTTTAAGTTCTATGGTACATGTGCACAACCTGCAGGTTTCTTACATATGTATCCATGTGCCATGTTGGTGTGCTGCACCCATTAACTCGTCATTTACATTAGGTATATCTCCTAATGCTATCCCTCCCCCCTCCCTACACCCCACAACAGGCCCTGGTTGTGATGTTCCCCTTCCTGTGTCCAACTGTTCTCATTGTTCAAGTCCCACCTGTGAGTGAGAACATGCGGTGTTTGGTTTTCTGTCCTTGTGATAGTTTGCTCAGAATGATGGTTTCCAGCTTCATCCATGTCCCTGCAAAGGACATGAACTCATCCTTTTTTATGGCGCATAGTATTCTATTGTGTATATTGCCACATTTTCTTAATCCAGTCTATCATTGATGGACATTTGGGTTGGTTCCAACTCTTTGCTATTGTGAATAGTGCCACAATAAACATACATGTGCATGTGTCTTTATAGTAGCATGATTTATAATCCTTTGGGTATATACCCAGTAATGGGATGGCTGGGTCAAATGGTATTTCTAGTTCTAGATCCTTGAGGAATCACCACACTGTCTTCCACAATAGTTGAACTAGTTTACAGTCCCACCAACAGTGTAAAAGTGTTCCTATTTCTCCACATCCTCTCCAGTACCTGTTGTTTACTGACTTTTTAATGATCGCCATTCTAACTAGTGTGAGATGGTATCTCATTGTGGTTTTGATTTGCATTTCTCTGATGGCCAGTGATGATGAGCATTTTTTCATGTGTCTGTTGGCTACATAAATGTCTTCTTTTGAGAAATGTCTGTTCATATCCTTTGCCCCTTTTTGATGGGGTTGTTTGAATTTTTTCTTGTAAATTTGTTTAAGTTCTTTGTAGATTCTGGATATTAGCCCTTTGTCAGATAGGTAGGTTGCAAAAATTTTCTCCCATTTTGTAGGTTGCCTGTTCACTCTGATGGTAGTTTCCTTTGCTGTGCAGAAGCTCTTTAGTTTAATTAGATCCCATTTGTCAATTTTGGCTTTTGTTGCCATTGCTTTTGGTGTTTTAGTCATGAAGTCCTTGCCCATGCCTATGGCCTGAGTGGTATTGCCTAGGTTTTCTTTCTTTTTTTTTTTCTTTGAGACAGAGTCTTGCTCTGTCGCCCAGGCTGGAGTGCAATGGCGCAAGCTCCACTCACTGCAAGCTCCGCCTCCCAGGTTCACGCCATTCTCCTGCCTCAGTCTCCTGAGTAGCTCAGACTACAGGCACCCGCCACCACGCCCGGCAAATTTTTTGTATTTTTAGTAGAGATGGGGTTTCACCATGTTAGCCAGGATGGCCTCGATCTCCTGACCTCGTGATCTGCCCGCCTTGGCCTCCCAAAGTTCTGGGATTACAGGCATGAGCCACCACGCCCAGCCACCTAGGTTTTCTTCTAGGGTTTTTATGGTTTTAGGTCTAACATTTAAGTCTGTAATCCATCTTGAATTAATTTTTGTTTAAGGTGTAAGGAAAGGATCCAGTTTCAGCTTTCTACATATGGCTAGCCAGTTTTCCCAGCACCATTTATTAAATGGGGAATCCTTTCCCCATTTCCTGTTTTTGTCAGGTTTGTCAAAGATCAGATGGTTGTAGACGTGTGGTATCATTTCTGAGGACTCTGTTCTGTTCCATTGGTCTATATCTCTGTTTTGGTACCAGTACCATGCTGTTTTGGTTACTGTAGCCTTGTGATGTAGTTTGAAGTCAGGTAGCCTGATGCCTCCAGCTTTGTTCTTTTGGCTTAGGATTGTCTTGGCAATGCGGGCTCTTTTTTGGTTCCATATGAACTTTAAAGTAGTTTTTTCCAATTCTGTGAAAAAAGTCATTGGTAGCTTGATGGGGATGGCATTGAATCTATAAATTACCTTGGGCAGTATGGCCATTTTTCACTATACTGATTCTTCCTATCCATGAGCATGGAATGTTCTTCCATTTGTTTGTGTCCTCTTTTATTTCATCGAGCGGTGGTTTGTAGTTCTTCCTGAGGAGGTCCTTCACATCCCTTATTAAGTTGGATTCCTAGGTATTTTATTCTCTTTGAAGCAATTGTGAATGGGAGCTCATTCATGATTTGGCTCTCTGTCTGTTATTGGTGTACAGGAATGCTTGTGATTTTTGCACATTGATTTTGTATCCTGAGACTTTGCTGAAGTTGCTTATCAGCTTAAGGAGATTTTGGGCTGAGATGATGGGGTTTTCTAAATATACAATCATGTCATCTGAAAACAGGGACAATTTGACTTCTTCTTTTCCTAATTGAATACCCTTTATTTCTTCCTCCTGCCTGATTGCCCTGGCCAGAACCTCCAACACTATGTTGAATAGGAGTGGTGAGAGAGGGCATCCCTGTCTTGTGCCAGTTTTCAAAGGGAATGCTTCCAGTTTTTGCCCATCCAGTATGATATTGGCTGTGAATTTGTCATAAATAGCTCTTATTATTTTGAGATACATCCCATCAATACCTAATTTATTGAGAGTTTTTAGCATGAAGTGCTGTTGAATTTTGTCAAAGGCCTTTTCTGCATCTATCGAGATAATCATGTGGTTTTTGTCTTTGGTTCTGTTTATATGATGGATTACGTTTATTGATTTGCATATGTTGAACCAGCCTTGCATCCCAGGGATGAAGCCCATTTGATCATGGTGGATAAGCTTTTTGATGTGCTGCTGGATTCGGTTTGCCAGTATTGTACTGAGGATTTTTGCATTGATGTTCATCAGGGATATTGGTCTAAAATTCTCTTTTTTTGTTGTGTCTCTGCCAGGGTTTGGTATCAGGATGATGCTGGCCTCATAAAATGAGTTAGGGAGGATTCCCTCTTTTTCTATTGACTGGAATAGTTTCAGAAGGAATGGTACCAGCTCCTCCTTGTACCTCTGGTAGAATTTGGCTGTGAATCCATCCGGTCCTGGACTTTTTTTGGTTGGTAGGCTATTAATTATTGCCTCAATTTCACAGCCTGTTATTGGTCTATTCAGGGATTCAACTTCTTCCTGGTTTAGTCTTGGTAGGGTGTATGTGTCCAGGAATTTATCCATTTCTTCTAGATTTTCTAGTTTATTTGCATAGAGGTGTTTATAGTATTCTCTGATGGTAGTTTGTATTTCTGTGGGATCGGTGGTGATATCCCCTTTATCATTTTTTATTGCATCTATTTGATTCTTCTCTCTTTTCTTCTTTAATAGTCTTGCTAGTGGTCTATCAATTTTGTTGATCTTTTCAAAAAACCAGCTCCTGGATTCATTGATTTTTTGAAGGGATTTTTGTGTTTCTGTCTCCTTCAGTTCTGCTCTGATCTTAGTTATTTCTTGCCTTCTGCTAGCTTTTGAATGTGTTTGCTCTTGCTTCTCTAGTTCTTTTAATTGTGATGTTAGGGTGTCAATTTTAGATCATTCCTGCTTTCTCTTGTGGGCATTTAGTGCTATAAATTTCCCTCTACACACTGCTTTAAATGTGTCCCAGGAATTCTGGTATGTTGTGTCTTTGTTCTCGTTGGTTTCAAAGAACATCTTTATTTCTGCCTTCATTTTGTTATGTACCCAGTAGTCATTCAGGAGCAGGCTGTTCAGTTTCCATGTAGTTGAGTGGTTCTGAGTGAGTTTCTTAATCCTGAGTTCTAGTTTGATTGCACTGTGGTCTGAGAGACAGTTTGTTATAATTTCTATTCTTTTATATTTGCTAAGGAGTGTTTTACTTCCAACTATGTGGTCAATTTTGGATTAAGTGTGATGTGGTGCTGAGAAGAATATATATTCTGTTGATTTAGGGTGGAGAGTTCTGTAGATGTCTATTAGGTCCACTTGGTGCAGAGCTGAGTTCAATTCCTGGATATCCTTGTTAACTTTCTGTCTCATTGATCTGTCTAATGTTGACAGTGGGGTGTTAAAGTCTCCTATTATTATTGTGTGGGAGTCTAAGCCTCTTTGTAGGTCTCTAAAGACTTGCTTTATGAATCTGGGTGCTCCTGTATTGGGTGCATATATATTTAGGAGAGTTAGCTCTTCTTGTTCAATTGATCCCTTTACCATTATGTAATGCCCTTCTTTGTCTCTTTTGATCTTTGTTGGTTTAAAGTCTGCTTTATCAGAGACTAGGATTGCAACCCCTGCCTTTTTTTGTTTTCCATTTGCTTGGTAGATCTTCCTCCATCCTTTTATTTTGAGCCTATGTGTGTCTCTGCACATGAGATGGGTCTCCTGAATACAGCACACTGATGGGTCTTGACTCTTTATCCAATTTGCCAGTCTGTGTCTTTTAATTGGAGCATTTAGCCCATTTACATTTAAGGTTAACATTGTTATGTGTGAATTTGATCCTGTCATTATGATGTTAGCTGGCTATCTTGCTCGTTAGTTGATGCAGTTTCTTCCTAGCATCGACAGTCTTTACAATTTGGCATGTTTTTGCAGTGGCTGGTACCAGTTATTCCTTTCCATGTTTAGTGCTTCCTTCAGGAGCTCTTGTAAGGCAGGCCTGGTGGTGACAAAATCTCTCAGCATTTGCTTGTCTGTAAAGGATTTTATTTCTCCTTCACTTATGAAGCTTAGTTTGGCTGGATATGAAATTCTGGATTGAAAATTCTTTTCTTTAAGAATGTTGAATATTGGCCCCCACTCTTTTCTGGCTTGTAGAGTTTTTGCTGAGAGATCCACTGTTAGTCTGATGGGCTTCCCTTTGTGGGTAACCTGACCTTTCTCTCTGGCTGCCCTTAACATTTTTTCCTTCATTTCAACTTTGGTGAGTCTGACAATTATGTGTCTTGGAGTTGCTCTTCTCGAGGAGTATCTTTGTGGTGGTCTCTGTATTTCCTGAATTTGAATGTTGGCCTGCCTTGCTAGGTAGGGGAAGTTCTCCTGGATAATATTCTGAAGAGTGTTTTCCAACTTGGTTCCATTCTCCCTGTCACTTTCAGGTACACCAATCAGACGCAGATTTGGTCTTTTCACATAGTTCCATATATCTTGGAGGCTTTGTTCGTTTCTTTTTACTCTTTTTTTCTCTAAACTTCTCTTCTCACTTCATTTCATTCATTTGATCTTCAATCACTGATACCCTTTCTTCCAGTTGATCGAATCAGCTACTGAAGCTTGTGCATGCGTCACGTAGTTCTCATGCCATGGTTTTCAGCTCCACTGGTCATTTAAGGACTTTTCTACACTGGTTATTCTAGTTAGCCATTTGTCTAATATTTTTTCAAGGTTTTTAGCTTCTTTGCGATGGGTTCGAACATCTTCCTTTAGCTCAGAGAAGTTTGATCGTCTGAAGCCTTCTTCTCTCAACTCATCAAAGTCATTGTCCGTCCAGCCTTGTTTTGTTGCTGGCAAGGAGCTGCATTCCTTTGGAAGAGAAGAGGCACTCTGATTTTTAGAATTTTCAGCTTTTCTGCTCTGGTTTCTCCCCATCTTTGTGGTTTTATCTACTTTTGGTCTTTGATGATGGTGACGTACAGATGGGGTTTTGGTGTGGATATCCTTTCTGTTTGTTAGTTTTCCTTCTAACAGTCAGGACCCTCAGCTGCAGGTCTGTTGGAGTTTGCTGGAGGTCCGCTCCAGGCCCTGTTTGCCTGGGTATCACCAGCGGAGGCTGCAGAACAGCGAATATTGCAGAACAGCAAATGTTGCTGCCTGATCATTCCTCTGGAAGCCTTTGTCTCAGAGGGGCACTCGGCCGTGTGAGGTGTCAGTCGGCCCTTACTGGGAGACGCCTCCCAGTTAGGCTACTCGGGGGTCAGGGAGCCACTTGAGGAGGCAGTCGGTCTGTTCTTAGATCCCAAACTCCATACTGGGAGAACCACCACTCTCTTCAAAGCTGTCACACAGGGACATTTAAGTCTGCAGAAGTTTCTGCTGCCTTTTGTTCAGCTATGCCCTGCCCACAGAGGTGGAGTCTACAGAGGCAGGCAGGCCTCCTTGAGCTGCAGTGGGCTCCACCCAGTTTGAGCTTCCTGGCCGCTTTGTTTACCTACTCAAACCCCAGCATGGTGGGCACCCCTCCGCTAGCCTCGCTGCTGCCTTGTAGTTCAATCTCAGACTGCTGTGCTAGCAATGAGCGAGGCTCCGTGGGCATGGGACCCTCCGAGCCCGGCGTGGGATATAATCTCCTGGTGTGCCATTTGCTAAGACTGTTGGAAAAGCACAGTATTAGGGTGGGAGTGACCTGATTTTCCAGGTGCTGTCTGTCACAGCTTCCCTTGGCTAGGAAAGGGAATTCCCTGACCCCTTGTGCTTCCCGGGTGAGATGATGCCTCACCCTGCTTCGGCTCGCACTCGGTGGGCTGCACCCACTGTCCTGCACCCACTGTCTAACAAGCCCCAGTGAGATGAGCTGGTACCTCAGTTGGAAAAGCAGAAATCACCTGTCTTTTGCATCACTCACGCTGGGAGCTGTAGACTGGAGCTGTTCCTATTCGGCCATTTTGGAAACTCCCAGCCTACTTCTTAAATGTGGGCCTGTTCTGGGCTTCTCTTCTCTTCACTTTGCACTCTGTCTCCAGGCTATGTCCTCTGTTCTCCAGGCATCTATCACCTCCTTTAAGCAGAAGACGTCCACATTGACATCTCCACCCAGACCCCTCCTCTGAGCTCCAGTCCTCTATGGCCACCTGTCTCCTAAACAGCCCCACCTTTTAATTTAATTTAATTTTATTTAATTTTATTTTATTTTATTTTATTTTATTTTATTTTATTTTATTTTTGAGACAGAGTCTTGCTCTGTCACCCAGGCTGGAGTGCAATGGCATGATCTCGGCTCACTGCAACCTCTGCCTCCCGGGTACAAGCAGTTCTTTGCCTCAGTCTCCCCAATAGCTGGGATTACAGGTGCCTGCCACCACGCCTGGCTAGTTTTTGTATTTTTAGTAGAGACGGGGTTTCACCATCTTGGCCAGGCTGGTCTTGAATTCTTGACCTCATGATTCATCCACCTTGGCCTCCCAAAGTGCTGGGATTACAGATGTGAGCCACTGTGCCCGGCCTGTAACAGCTCCACTTACATACATAATACATCAACTGTCAGCCCCAGACCTACAGTCCCCTTCCCTGAAGATGGCACCACTATTATCCACTTCGATGCCTGAATCAGAAGCTTTTAGTCTCTATAAGCCTCAAATCTAATTTGTCACCAAGTCCTGCTCACTCCACCCTCTGAGAGTATCTCCCACAGTCCCTACCTTAACTCAGGTCCTGCTCCTCTCCCCCTGGGATCTCTGTATCAGCCTTTTCACTGGTCTCACTGCCTGCAGTCTTGCTTATTCTGATCCATGCTATATAATGATATATGGGTAGAATGAAGTGAGGCTTATTCCAGAAATGCAAGTTTAATTTAACATCCTAAAATATGTTAACATAATTTGTCACATTCATAGAAGAAAAGATAAATATGATCATTCCAATAGAAGGAGAAATAAGCATTTGATAAAATTCAATACCAGTTCATAATAAAAACTTGCAGCAAACTAGGAATAGGAGTAGAAGGGAAGTTCTTTAATATAAGAAAGTATATCCATGAAAATCCTATAGCTAAACTCACATTTAATATGAACATTTTCCCTCTGATATCAGGAACAAGACAAAAATGTCCAATCCCCCATTTTTGTTCGACCATTGTATTAGTAGTCCTAGCTAGAATAATAAAGCAAGAAAAAGTAATGAAAGACGTAAACGGCTGGGCATGGTGGCTCATGCCTGTAATCCCAGCACTTTGGGAGGCCAAGGCGGGTGGACCATGAGGTCAGGAGTTCAAGACCAGCCTGGCCAAGATGGTGAAATGCTGTCTCTACTAAAAAGACAAAAATTAGCTAGGCATGGTGGCACACACTTGTAATCCCAGCTACTTGGGAGGCTGAGTCAGAAGAATTGCTTGAACCTGGGAGGTGGAGTTTGCAGTGAGCTGAGATCACACCACTGCACTCCAGCCTGGGTGACAGAGCAAGACTCTGTCTCAAAAAAAAAAAAAGGAAGCATTGAAAAAGAAGTAAAACTGTTATTCTTTTCTAATGATATGATTGTGTACACAGGAATTCCCAAAATATCTATACATGAAGTATTAGGATTTATGTATCAAAGTTGCTAGATATAAGAACAATATACAAAAATAATTGTATTTCTATATACTAGCAACAATTAGAAAATATAATATGATGGTGGCTCATGTCTATAATCCCAGCACTTTGGGAGGCCCAGGTGAGTAGATTGCTTGAGCCCAGGAGTTTGAGACCAGCCTGGGCAACATGGTGAAACTCCATCTCTAAAAAAAAAAAAAAAGGAAAGAAACAAAAGAAAAGAAAAACAATTTAAAGAAAATGAAATATGAAAATATAGCATTTACAATAACATCAAAAAATCAAATACCTAGGAATAAATGCAGTGAAATATATGTAAGACCCTTTTACTGACAACTTTAAATTATTGCTACAGGAAATAAAAGAAGACCTAAATAAATGAAGGAATACACCACATTCACAGATTGCAAGATTCAGTATTGTTAAGGGGCCAGGTCTTCTCAAATTGGCCCAAGGACTCAATGCAATTTCAATAAAAATTTCAACAGTTTTTTTTTTTTAGGTTAACAATTTTATTTTAAAATTCATATGAAAGTGCAAAGAAACTAACAGTGTAACAGAGGATCAAGGAAGACCACATTCCAAGAAGCAAGTGGTCGTCTGTGTCAGCAAAAGGTAAGGTGATGAAATAATCCAAACTGGATTCAGCTCCACATGCCCTGGGGGACAGAGGAGGAAGCAGGGCTGGAAGGCCCTGGGTTAGAGAGAAGAGCTGGTTCCTATGGGAGCAGGATTTGGGAAAATACAAAGCTTGAGGATTTACACTTTCCTATATAAAAACTAATTATAAAACTTCAGCAATTAAGAGGCCGTACGCAGTGGCTCATGGCTGTAATCCCAGCACTTTAGGAGGCTGAGGGCAGTGGATCACCTGAGGTCAGGAGTTCGAGACCAGCCTGGCCAACATGGCAAAAACTCTGTCTTTACTAAAAATACAAAAATTATCCAGCTATTTGGGAGGCTGAAGCAGGAGAATCGCTTGAACCTGGAAGGCGGAGGTTGCAGTGAGTAGAGATCATGCCACTGCACTCCAGCCTGGGTGAAAGAGTAACTCTGTCTCCCAAAAAAAAAAAAAATTATTAATGCTATTAATGGATAAGTAGTAGCTTTAGCTTGTTCCAACAGTAACACTTCTGAGCTCCCTCTCCAGCCTCCCCTCCACAGGTTTCTGAAATCTTTCCAGTATTCTCCAGCCCCTCAAAGCTGCTTACCCCTGCCCAACAGGCTGTGTTGTTGCCCATCTCCAGCCTTTGAATGTGCTGTTATGAAATTGCATGTGCTGTCCTTTCCCCTTTCTCTGCAAACTCCTGCCTATTTTCCAGGTCCTTTTGTGTGAACTCTTCCCCAAACTCTCCCACAACATGCTCCTTCATGCTCTTAAAATTTGAATACAGGACTACAGGCGCACATAATGGTGTGCACCTGTAGTCCCAGCTACTAAGGAGGCTGAAGTGAGGGGATCACTTGAGCCCAGGAGTTCAAGGCTGCAGTGAACTATGATCACACCATTGCACTCTAGCCTGGAAGACAGAACAAGAAAATAATAAATAAATAAATAAATAATTTTCTGGGCCAGGCACAGTGGCTCATGCCTGTAATCCCAGCACTTTGAGAGGTGGAGGCAGGTGGATCACGAGGTCAGGAGATTGAGACCATCCTGGCTAACACAGTGAAACCCCGTCTCTACTAAAAATACAGAAAAACTAGCCAGGAGTGGCGGAGTGCACCTGTTGTCCCAGCTGCTGGGGAGGCTGAGACAGGAGAATGGCATGAACCTGGGAGGCGGAGCTTGCAGTGAGCCAAGATGGCATCACTGCACTCCAGCCTGGGTGACAGAGCAAGACTCCATCTCAAAGAAAAAAAAAACTGAAAATAAGTAAATAAATAAATAAAAATAACATATAAAAACTTGAATACAGTATTTATCATTTTGTCTTTATTTCTATGACTCCACAACTCATTGACTTTGACAGCTTGGACACATCACCTAACTCTCTGGATTGGATGCTCTGTTTACACCACCCCTTCCCCAAGAACTATTCTTTATCTTTCTCCTGCCAGCTCTGTGCCTCAGCAGGCTGACCTCTGTGGACTAATCACCCAGGAAACCTTGCCTTCCCATTTCTTGTGGATTCAACCAATGGGAAGTCCCAGAAGGAGAGGAAGGAGTATTAATTCCCCACCTCCCACCCCTATTCTCTACAGCCACAGTTCCTGTCAGTCGGCCCCATTTCCACAGCTCCAGCTGTCACGTGGTTCTGGTGACAATCTTTCTCTCCCCCTCCAGACCTATAGGTGGTAAATGCACCCCACTGTGCTAACCCTAGGGCACCTCACCATCCCTTGTGGGTTTCCTTAACCCTTCCCTCGCCTCTGTAAGCGGTCCCTTTATTAGACTGTCTTCAAGAAACCCTTTTAGTTGTTATCAGTTTCCTACTGGGACTCTGACTTACTTACTCTCTTTTTTTTTTTCTTTTTTTTTTTTGAGACAGGGTCTGGCTCTGTCACCCAAGCTGTAGTGCAGTGGCACAATGTCAGCTCACTACAACCTCTACCTCATTTGATTCTTGTGTCTCAGCTTCCCAAGTAGCTGGGATTATCGGCCCGTGCCACTGCACCTGGCCTGACTCACACATTCTCTGACCCTCACTTTGTTGGTTTGTTAACTGGGAGGCAATGATTTTATTGCTCATAGAGTTGCTGTGATGATTAAATGAGATCACATGTGGGTAGTGCTTAGGTCAGTGATGGGCCATAGTAAATGCTCAAAGAACACAAACTATCTTTTATGTTTTATTTTGAGATAGAGTGTCACTGTGTGGCCCAGGCTGTATGTAGTGCAGTGGTACAATCAACTCACTATAACTTCAAATTCCTGGGCTCAAGCAATCCTCCTACCGCAGCCTCTCGAGTAGCTAAGACTACCGGCAAATGAAATCACATTGGGCTAATTTTTTTTTTCTTTTTTTAAGATGGAGTCTCGCCCTGTCGCCCACGCTGGAGTACAGTGGCACAATCTCAGCTCCCTGCAACCTCTGCCTCCCGGGTTCAAGCCATTCTCCTGCCTCATCCTCCTGAGTAGCTGGGATTACAAGCGTGTGCCACCACACCCGGCTAATTTTTGTATGTTTAGTAGAGACGGGGTTTCACCATGTTGGTCAGGCTGGTCTCGAACTCCTGACCTTGTGATCCATCCACCTCGGCCTTCCAAAGTGCTGGGATTACAGGCGTGAGCCACTGTGCCCGGCCACACTGGGCTAATTTTTTTAATGTTTTGTAGAGACAGGGTTTCACTATGTTATCACTGGCTGGTCTCAAACTCCTGGCCTCAAGAAATCCTCCTGCCTTGGCCTCCCAAAGTGCTAGGATTACGGGTGTGAGCCACCACGCCCATCTGAGCTACCTTTTATTTTATTATTTTTAAATATTTGCTTATGTATTTTTTTGAGTCTGGGTTATAATACTGGCTAATTTTTGTATTTTTGGTAGTGATGTGGTTTTGCCATGTTGCCCAGGCTGGTCTAGAACTCCTCTGCTCAAGCAATCCACCTACCTTGACCTCCCAAAGTGCGGGGATTATAGGTGTAAGCCACCACGCCCATCCGAATTACCTTTTTTTTTTTTTTTTTTTTTTTTTTTGAGATGGAGTGTCACTCTGTTGCCCAGGCTGGAGTGCAGTGGCGTGATCTCGGCTCACTGTAAGCTCCGTCTCCCAGGTTCACGCCATTCTCCTGGCTCACCCGGCCACTTTTTTTTTTTTTTTTTTCCAGAAACAAAGTCTTGCTCTGTCACCCAGGCTGGAAAGCAGTGACATAATCTCAGCTCACTGCAACCTCTGCCTCCCAGGTTCAAGCAATTCTCGTGCCTCAGCCTCCTGAGTAGTTGGGACTAAAGGTGTGCACCACCACATCCGGTTAATTTTTGTATTTTTAGTAGAGATGGGGGTTTCGCCATGTTGGCCAGGCTGGTCTTGAACTCCTGACCTCAAGTGATCCTCCCACCTTCCAGAGGATTACAGGCATTGGGATTGCAGGCATGAGCCACCTCACCTGGCCTGAATTACCTTTTAATTTGTGATTTTGCTCCATCACTTGGCTGTGTGCTCCTTTGCTTCATTTGTTGAATGAATATTGTTGAATGAATGAATGAATGGGTGAGCAATGATCCAGAGTAAGGTAAAAGTTATCGTGTTATTTATAGAATCATAGACTCTTTGCATTTACCTGAAGAGCTTTCGAATAAAATTGTCTAATAAAGGTAGTAAGATTCCCATGTCTGGAGGTGTATAAGCTCTGGAGGTAGACAATCAACTGATTTGTCATTTCAGCAGAGCAAGTAGCATGGAGGTGGGGGCATTGGTTAGACTTTCAGAGAGAGGCCTTTCCAGGCCCAAAGGTAGGGAATTCTCTGACTCCCTTTGGCTCAAGTTTTGAATTATGAACCTACACATAAATTCATGATATTTTGGTCCTGGCAGTTCTTAAATACCATCCAGTTGACCAGCTTTATTTAGAGAGGACCAAATGGCTGGGCACGATGGCTCACGCCTGTAATCCCAGCACTTTGGAAGGCCGAGGTGGGGGCAGATCATGAGGTCAGGAGTTTGAGACTAGCCTGAACAACATGGTGAAACCCCGTCTCTACTAAAAATACAAAAATTTGCCAGGCATGGTGATGCGCACCTGTAATCCCAGCTATTCAGGAGGCTGAGGCAGGAGAATCACTTGAACCCGGAAGGCGGAGGTTGCAGTGAGCTGAGATCACGCCACTGCACTCCAGCCTGGGTGACAGAGCAGGGTTCCGTCTTTAAAAAAAAAAAAAAAGAGAGAGACAGACAGAAAGGAGCAAATGGAGCCCAGAGAGAGAAAGAGACTGGTCCAAGGTCACATAGACAGGCCAAAACCCAGCTTTTCTAATGCCCAGCCTGGTTTTGCCTTAATATGCATCAGGAAGGAAATGTACTTTTCTTACAAATCTATAAAAATGACTCTTCTCTATACCCTTCTGGACTCAGACACGAATCGCTGTAATGTGTTGGTGGGTTGGCAAGGGACCAGGCTTGGGGCTGGAGGGGAGCTGTGTCGGGACCTGCGGCGCAACATCTAAGATCCTGTTGAGGGTAACTCACAAGGCAAGAAGATACAGGTGGGAGTGGAGACAAGAGCCATGTCCTCATCTTTTGGGGACATTGGGACAGAGGGAATAGATGCAGTCAGTGTGGCCCAGAGCAGAACAGGGAAGCAGCTACAAAGAAGCAGCTCTCAGAACTTCCCAGAAGATTAGCCAGGCATGACGGTGGGTGCTTGTAGCCCCAGCTACTAGGGAGGCTGAGGCAGGAGGATCACTTGAGCCGGGGAGGTGAAGGTTGGAGTGAGGCAAGAGCACATAACTGCACTCCAGCCTGGGCGACAGAGGGAGACCCTGCCAAAAAAAAAAAAGAGAACTTTCCCAGAAGGGTGATGGTAATGAATGGTGGGGGATGGTGAGCTTCTCATCCCTGTGAGGCACAGCAGGGGCTGCACACTCATTAGTCACCAATTTTGGAAATGAGATTCCTGCCCACATTGGGGAAAGGAACTAGGAGTTTCCAAGGTTTTTTTTTTTTCCCTAATCTGCAAAATTCCAGAATTTTAAGATTGGGAAATATTAAATTCATCTGGTATGCCATCCCCCTGGGATGCTGGAAGCATCTCTAAAGCACCCGGTGGTAGCCCAAGATGTATCAGGAGCCCTCTCCCTGGGCCCCTATAGTATCCCGGGCCTCCCTCATCTCAGCACTCAGCCTCTACGTTGTGATTGTCCATGCCCTAGTTAAACCGCCATTGAACCCTACCCATAGGCTCCCAACAGCTCTTCTTTTCCCAGCCCTCTCCATTCTGCACCCAGAAGCCAGGGCAACTCATTTACGAGGTGATTATCAGGTCACTCTCTTCCTAAAGCCTGTTACACTTAGCATAAAGTCCCAGGGTTCACAAGGCCTTTCTGCTGGCCTTTGCTTACCTCTCTGGGTGCTGTCCTGCAACTCGCCCCTCACTCAGCACACTTCACACTCCAGCCGCACTGGCCTTTCTGTGCCTCAAGCAGGCAGAGCTCATTTCCGCTGCAGGGCATTGCTTGCTGTTCTCTTTGGAACACTCTTCTTCCAGATCTTTGCAGATGCTGTAATGTGCCCCTCAGATCTCCCCTCAGGGCTGAGGTACTGATTTCCCTAGGGGCTGGGAGTGTTGGCAGTGACTGCTCTTAGTTGGCACTTTGTGGGAATGACTCTCCACCAAAGACAGCTGGCTCACCCCAAGCCCTGCCCCTTCCTGGGTGGCCACATCCAATGGTTGGCCAATGTGAGGTACAAAGGCCTGGCCCCGTTGCCTCCATCTGGGACAACTTTGAAAGGCTATCCTCCCAGCCTGGGCAACATAGTGAGACCCCCATTTCTAAAAACAAAATTAAAAAATTAGCCAGGTGTGGTGGGGCACGCCTGTAGTCCCAGCTACTCAGGAGGCTGAGGCAGGAGCATCACCTGAGTCCAGGAGTTTGAGGCTACATACAGGGAGCTATCATGGCGTAAGCGCACTCTAGCCTGGGTGACAGAGCGAGGCCCTGTTTCTAAATCAATCAATCAATCAATCTAAAAAAAAAAAACAAAACAGAAACAAAACAAAAAACCTCAGCTGGGCTGGGCGCGGTGGCTCAAGCCTGTAATCCCAGCACTTTGGGAGGCCGAGGTGGGCGGATCACGAGGTCAGGAGATCGAGACCACTGTGAAACCCCGTCTCTACTAAAAATACAAAAAATTAGCCGGGTGCAGTGGTGGGCGCCTGTAGTCCCAGGTACTTAGGAGGCTGAGGCAGGAGAATGGTGTGAACCTGGGAGGCGGAGCTTGCAGTGAGCCGAGATTAAGCCACTGCACTCCAGCCTGGGCGACAGAGCCAGACTCTGTCTCAAAAAAAAAAAAACAAAAACCTCAGCTGGGTGACTCATGCTTATAATCCTAGCAGTTTGGGAGGCTGAGGTGGAAGGATCACTTGAACTCACGAGTTCAAGACCAGCCTGGGCAGCACAGTGAGACCTCATCTCTACTCAAAAAAAAAAAAAAAAAAAATTAGGCGTGATGATGTGCGCCTGTAGTCTCAGCTACTTGGGAGGCTGACATCGGAGAATCGCTTGAGCCAAGAAGGTTGAGGCTATGATGAGCTGTGATTGTACCACTGCACTCCAGCCTGGGCGACAGAGCAAGGCTGGGCACAGTGGCTCATGCCTGTAATCCCAACACTTTGGGAGGCCAAGGCAGATGGATCGCTTGAGCCCAGGAGTTCCAGACCAGGCTGGGCAATATGGGGAGACTGTTTCTACAACAATACAAAAATGAGCAGGGTGTGGTGGCACAGGCCTGTGGTCCCAGCTACTTGGGAAGCTGAGGTGGAAGGATCACTTGAACTTGCCACTGCACTCCAGCCTGGGGGAGGGAAGGAAGCAAGAAAGGGAGGGAGGAAGGGAGGGAGGGAGGGCAAGAGAGAGGGAGGGAGGGAGGGAGACAGAGTGGAAAGGAGGAATGAAGGAAGGAAGGAAGGAAAGAAAGAGGGAAGGAGGGAGGGAGGAATGGAAGGAAGGAAGGCAGGTAGGAAGGAAGGAAGTGAGGAGGGAGGGAGGGAAGGAAGGAAGGAGGGAGGGAGGAAGGGAAGGAAGGAGGGAAGGAAGGAATGAAGGCAGGCGGGCAGGAGGGAGGGAAGGAAGGAGGAAGGAAGGAAGGAGGGAAGGAAGGGAGGGAGGGAAGGAAAGAAGGAAGGGAGGAAGGAAGGAGGGAGGGTAGGAGGGAGGGAAGAAAGGAAGGAAGGAGGGAGGGAAGAAAGGAAGGAAGGAGGGAGGGAGAGAGGAAGGAAGGGAGGGAGGGAGGAAGGCAGGAAGGAAGGAGGGAAGGAAGGTGGGCAGGCGGGAAGGAGGGAGGGAGGGAAAGAAGGAAGAAAGGAAGGAATGAAGGAAGGAAGGAGGGAGGGAGGGAAGAAAGGAAGGAAGGTGGGCAGGCAGGAAGGAGGGAGGGAGGGAAGGAAAGAAGGAAGGGAGGAAGGAAGGAAGGACAGAGGGAGGGAGGGAGGGAAGAAAGGAAGGAAGGAAGGAGGGAGGGATGGAGGGAGGGAGGAAGGAAGGGAGGGAGGGAGGGAGGGAAGGAAATCTTTCCTTGCTCTGGAGCTCCATGGGAGTCAGCTGAAGTGTTTCCTGTGACTGCAGCACAGCTCAGCTTCTCCCTCTACCCCACCCTGCTTCCCTACTACCTCACATGAGTCCAGCCCAGAAGTGCTCCCCAATAAGCTTCCTGCTTGCAAATCTCCTGACCCAAGCCATCTCCTCATCTCAGCTCCACTGTCATCCTCTCTGTCCACTTACAATGTTGTCCTATCACTCTATCACCCTATCCTATTTTATCTTTACAGCCTTTTGAAACTACCTCTTTATTTGTGTCTGTTCCTTCATCTTTTGTCTCTCTCTCTCTCTCCCCCTGGAACACGAGTTCTATGAGAGCTGCTGTCCCGTCCTCTGCTGTGTCCCCAGTGCCAATGACAGTGCTGGTGTAGAGTTGGTGCTCACTAAATATTTGTGAACTGAACAAATGTGTTTGAAGGAGCGAGTGGGTGAAGGAATGGATGACTGTGTGAGTGATGTCTGCCTTTCCTGCTCTCCCCTGCCCCGCCCCACCCTGCTGAGCCCCTGAGCCAGGCGTTGGCCCCCTCCCCCATGTGACCCCGGCTGAGTTGGGGCCTCCTGGGAGGATGGAGCCTGCAGCCTTCTTGGCTGCTTGCCCTGTATTGATCAAAGCTGGGAGGCTGCCGGCTGAGGTCTGTCCCAGCCCCTGGGGGTGGGGGAGTAGAGAGGGCTTCTGGCTGAGATTTGTGCAGGGCTTGCCTGGGGCATACTAGTGCCACTAGAGATCCATCTGCTTTAGGGGCTGACAGCACCTCTTCTCCACACCTCTCAAGGGAGTCCACACTTGCCCCAGGAGGATGGCTGGGCAGGAGTATGCAGGAGACAGAGGTAGGGCTGCAACTGGGCCTCGGCAGTGAATGCTTCTGGCCTCTTGCAAAGTCATGTATTTTTCAAAGTCATGTCACTATTTATGGAGGTCCTTGGATGGGGAAGGAGGGAGGGAGGGAGTGGAGTGGACAAGGCCCTTCTTATGCAGGCTGGTCAGCAGCCCGCTGTGCAGACCACTGTGCAGACCCAAGGATGAGGTTCTCAGTGAGCTTGGGGTCTGGCTGGAATTGCACTTGAAACAGCTTATCGTGATCATGGGGCACAGGAAAGAGATCGCTGAGGGGAGGTGCCAAGGAATAAGCCCAAGGATGGTCCCTCCTGCAGAATCCTGACCTGAGAATAGGGGTAATCCTATGTGGCCAGAAGAGACAGGTCACACAGCTATTAGTAGTTCAGCCGGAGCTGGAGCCCCATCTCCTATGCTGCAGCTGGACTCAGAGTACACAGGTACCAAGCACCTCCTCTGGGCCAGGTCAGGTGATGGGTGCTGGAGATGACATGGGGATGGGTGGGGCACCACTCTGATCTCAGGAGCTCACAGCCCAGGAAATAGACACACACACACACACACACACACACACACACACTCAAACCAGTAATTCAAACTGGTCTCAAGATAAAAATACAGAGTTGGGAAACTGGGTGGCACAGGCGGAGGAGATGAACTGCATCACAGACAATCTGAGAAGACTGTGCAGGAAGTGGTCCTGAAACCTGGCTAGCCAGGAGGATCCCTTGAGACCAGGAGTTCGAGACCAGCCTGGGCAAACCTGTCTTAAAAAAATATATATATATACACACACACACACACACACACACACACACTCACACACACATATGTGTATATGTACATATGTACGTATATATGACTAATGATATAAAAGTATAAAAGCGGGAGATACTGAGAAGAGGCAGAGGCATGGGGCAGCGCATGAGCAAAGGTGTGGAGGCCGCCATCTTTGCCGCCTGGGCAAAGGCAACAGCCCCTTCCGTGTCTCCAGACTACAGACTCCCCACCCTCTCCCCATGAATCACACCACTGCCAGAGCGAGTGCTCTGAAAACACTTTGATCACACACTCTCCTGCTCAGAGCCCATCAGGGCTTCCTGCTGCCCTCCAGGCAGTGTCCTGTCATGAACTTGAATGCTAAAAGTTACTGTAGGCCTCCTGTGTCTACCTCTTCCCCTTTTACAGAGAAGGAAACTAAGGCCCAGAGAAGAACACAGTGTGAGTCAGATGCCACGCTGGAACTAAAATAGGGCCTTCTGAATGCTGGGCAGGGGTCTTCTGTGACACCACATCCTCTACCTGCCCCCTACCACCCAGCTGGTATTTAAGGAGCTGAGGAAAGTCTGGGCATCCTTAGGTCTGGCTATAGACTCAGAATAGCAAAGCTGAGACTGGGTCCTGGCTAGCGCTGAACTCAGGCCCTCATTTTACAGAGGAGCATACTGAGGCCAGGAAGGCTTGCAAGAATCCTTGTGAACCATCAGCTTTGCAGCTATTTTACTAAGACACCGGCATAAACGTTCTTAGTTAACTCTCACAACTCTGGGAAATAGACTGGATAAAAGTTATCAGGACCATTTGATAGATGACGAAACTGAGGCCCAAAGAGCAGAGTGATGGTTCGGGGTCACACAGCAGGTTCATTTGTTCATTCTTCACATACATGCGGTGCATTTGCTCCACGGCAGACCCAGGGCTAGGGACAAGACTACACGAGCTCACGGTGCTCACACTCTACTTGGCAATTCAGCCAAGCTAGGGCTGCCGTGCCCTGCAGTGAATGCCAGCATGGGAAACCCAGGGGCTGGAGAGCCCATGGCAAGGCTTCAGGGAAGGGGCGGATATTTCAGGGGAGTTCAGAGTGGGGGCTGGGGGCAGAGGGAGTTCCAAGCAAGACCCGGGCCTGCCAACCCCAAGCTCCTTCCTGGAGGACTTAACACTGTGTTGAGCAGTTGTTTTGAATTTCCGGGCAGGGGGCTGCAAAAGGGAGGCTGGGGGAGGTGGTGCTGCCGCCTGTCTGGGGTGCGGGCTGCTATTTACCAGGGCCCTTTGTGGGATGCAGCTCTCCAGGCTGGGGGCTCCCACAATTGCTTCCAGCTGGGCTGTCAGCCAGCTGGGAGGAGTTGGGGGTAGGTGAGGGGGGTGGCAAGAGAGGACCACAGGGCACAGAGGTCCCTTCCAGCCCAGTGTCCCCTCTGCCTTCCTGGGCGGCTGCACTTGCTGAGAGTCAGGCCCTGGTGGAGCATCCTTGGATGTAAGTGTGTCCATAAACCTGGAATCCATCCGGCCTGGCCGCTCCCGAGCTTTATGGCCTTTATGCACTTAATCTTTCATTTCCTCTCCCTGCTTCATCTCCCTGCTCACTTCCCCTCTTTCCCAGGAGGAATTGCTCGGCTCCACCACGGACTCCTCCCCCTCCCCTGCCCCCCCAGCTTGTGGAGGCTCCAAAGCCCCTTTGTCAGAAGGTACCCTTATGGACAGCTGTCCCAGCTTCCATGACTTCTGCCTGGGGCCCCAGCGTTCACCCCCTTTACTACAAACACTCCTGGCATAACATCCCACCCCTACCCGGCTAAGGCTCCTCAGCAGCGCCAGGACAAACTCCTACGCCCAGCAGTGAGACCCTCCAGCCTCCTCTCCTGCTCCGGCCTCAGGCACACCCTAGGCTCCAGCCAAGGTGAACTGTAGCTGGAGTCGCACTGCTGTCCCTTGCCCATGGGGATCCCTCAGCCAGAACCTCCGTCACGCAGGCTGAAAGGTACACATCTTTCCCCATTCAGCTCAGACATCTCTTTCCAGACACTCTGCTCCAGGGTGGGTAGGGACCTGTCCTCAGTGAGCCCAGGGTGTCAGGCCCTGGTG
The DNA here is from genome assembly GCF_000001405.40 of Homo sapiens. Classification (NCBI taxonomy): domain Eukaryota; kingdom Metazoa; phylum Chordata; class Mammalia; order Primates; family Hominidae; genus Homo; species Homo sapiens. The sequence goes on from NC_000001.11 coordinate 54,462,941, forward strand.
GAGCCTTATTTTCTGTGGAAAGAGGACAATATTTGGTCTTGTTTGTCAACGAGTTTGTTGATAGATAAACAGGGTACATGAACTTTGTAGGTGATACAGGACTGTACCAATGTGAGGGTTGGGAGTCTAGCTCCCTTCCACCATCTGGGGGGGGCTCTACTTTAATGGAACCATGTTACATTTGCCTCAAGAGTCACGTTGTGCTCTTTCCTGATGGAATCCTAGAACTAGATTCCGGGAGCGTGGCTGATCTTTGATATCCGGCACCTGGCCAGGGTCTAGCTCAGGAAATCTCTCATGTGGGAGATCCTCCATTTTACCCAAGGGAGACTAACACCCAGAGAGGGAAAGGAGCTCACCCAACATCACACAGCAAATCAGGACAGGGTTGGGACCAGTTCCTTTAAAACACACTGAAAAATCAGTTAATGAAAAGAGCTCTTGGCTGGGAGCCAGGAGAGTGAGTTTTAGCCCCAATTTAGCTCCCATCCCAATCTCGACAGGTCACATGACTGCAGTCTCCTCAGACCCCTCTCTGGTCCTCCTCCCTTATCTGGTTTCCTTCCAGCTAATTCTGATCTTGGGGGTAGGGAATGTTTTCCGAAAGAAGGCTCTGCTCCTTTAAGGCCCCTCCCTCCCTCTCCTGAGCAAAGCCTCCCCAGAGAGCTGGGCTGGGACTCCGGGGAAGGTGGCAGGTCCCAGCCGCAGGATCTGGTGGGTCCTGCACTCACAGAATAAGTCTGCACAGGACAAAGAATGTCAACTGTCCCTTTTGTTCTGGGGGTGGGAGAATGGGGGTGGGGTGGAGGTGGGAGGCCTGCACCAGGATGGCGAGGGATGAACAGGATGGGTCTGCCTGGGCCAGGATGGGTAGGATCGGGTGTGGGTCCAAGGAGGTGAAGATGTCAGACAGAGGTAGCAGTGTGGAGTCTGCCCTTTCAAGCCTGAGAGTGCTTCGGGCTCGTGGGGTGCAGTGGGGGGTGATGGAGGGGGCATCACTTGCTTCGTCCTTTAGCAAGGTGGTGGGGACTTTGCAGACCTCGGTCCCACAGCTCACACTCACTATACCTTCTCATTGGGTTTCTCTCCACCCCTCACCCACAGTCTGTGGGGCCCTCCACCTACGTCTTCTCCCAGTCCTCAGAAAAACCCCATGAGGATGGTTTCATCACCCCCATGTTTGTCACAGGAAGTGAGGTTCAGAGAGGGGAATGACTTGTCTCTGGCCATTCACCCAGGGAACAGCAGACCCAGAATCGGAAATCAAGTCTTGCTCCAAAGCCCAGGCACTTATCACCTTACTCTCGAGGGCAAAGATCACTCCATGCCAGCTTTTAACTGGACAGAGGGATCCTCAGAAAGGTGAAGGGACTTGCCTCAAGTCGCCTGTATTTGGCAGGGTCTGGCCAGCCCAGCCTTCCTGCCTTGCATCCTGGAGAAGGCTGCGTGACCTTCTCCAGGACGCCCAAAGCTCTTCTTCCTCCCCGGTCAGTTTAAACTCCTGGATTCACCATGGAGCCCTAGAATGAAGGGGGGGAAGCACGAAGGCTGGCTCCCTATCAATGGTGTGACTTCCTTCAGAACATCTAGGGAACTAAGAGTTCTCCTTTGAAAAGTGGGTTCTGTCTCAGAGGGTGGCTGGGAGACTCCATGAGATGGTGCAGGCAAAGGTGAGTAGCGCTGACCAGGTGCTCAATGGAGGCCAATTCCCTCCTTTCCTTCCTCCTTTCCTCTCCCTCCCTCCTCTTTGTGGCACTTTGGCCTTGAGGTTAGGCTGGGCCTGATTAATGGGCTGACAGGAAGCTAGGTCAGCAGGGGCTGGAGGAGAGCTTTGTCTCAAGTTCCTGTTTAGAGGCAACGTTCATTTCCCGGGGGCTCACGCCACTTGAGTTACTCACTCCTATCTCAGCCTCCAGAAGCCCAGACTGTCTGTCCTGGAAGGGCATGATACCCTCTCCTCCCTGCATAGTCAGGTGAGGAAATCAAATCAGGGCCTGGAAAGGCCTTGTCTGAGCTCTGGCAGAGCAGTCACAGGGGAGGGCCCGCCCCAGGGCCTCCCAGGGTCTCCCCGCCACATGGGCAGGCCACCCACTGGCTGAAAGGAGGGTGAGCCGGAGGTGGTGGGAGAGCTTGCCTTGGAGCCAGCGAGCACCCCCTTTCCTCAAGTCACTGCTTATTTAGGGTGGCCCAGGGAGACTGGTGGATCCAAAGCTGGACCAAGCCCCTCACCTTGGGGTCTCCTTGGACCCCCATTCAAGAGCCTGTTCTACCTACACCTACCTGCTCCTAGCCCCCCACTTACTCTTAAAAATTAAAACCTTCAAATGAGGGGGGAACCTTCTCCTTAGGTTGCCTCCCTGTCCAGCTGGATTGATTCCTGGGCCTCCTGCCGAAGACGCTCAGGCCCTTTAAAAATAAATAAATAAATAAATTGAAGACCAGATTTAAAGTCTTGCCTGAACGCTCCCAGCCCAGCTTCTCCCACTCTCCCTCCTCCCGCTGGAGCTCTCATGGCCCCCATTGCCTGATGGGCATTCAAGCCTTCCACTAGAGTGGGAAGAGCTGATTGGTGGGGGGGTGTTGAAAATATCCTGTTCTTTGAGGGCCTCTTGTGTGCCTGGGCTATGCTGAATGCTTTTCCTCTCTTGTTTCAGCCTCCTGACAACCTCACCAGGCAGGCAGTCGGTTCCCATTTTTACAGGACCTGGCAGAGGAGAAGAGTCGGGCTGAGAGAGGGTGGGGAACTTGTCTGAGGCTGCAGTCACATAGAGGCAGGGCTGGGGCTTATCCTCCCGTCTTCCAAGCAGGGTTGGTTCCCAGGGCACCCTGCCCAGGGTCTCCAGTGTGAAAGTGCAGGTTGAAATGGCAGGCATCAGCTGGAGGGGGCCTCCCAGACCAGCTCTGATGACCCCTCCTCATATGGATGGGAAGACTGAGGCCCAGAGAAGGCAATGAGATTATCCCGGGTTCCACAGCAAGTTATTCTCAATGCCACATGAGGTTCTAGGGACTGGGGAACCACTATGAATAAAAGGACAAGATTTTGGTCTTGTGGAGCCTTTTTTTTTTTAAGATGGAGTTTTGCTCTGTTGCTGGAGTGCAATGGCGCGATCTTGGCTCACTGCAACCTCCGCCTCCCAGGTTCAAGCGATTCTTCTGCCTCAGCCTCCCAAGTAGCTGGGATTACAGGCATGCACCACCAAGCCCGACTAATTTTGCATTTTTAGTAGAGACGGAGTTTCTCCATGTTGGTCAGGCTAGCCTCAAACTCCCAACCTCAGGTGATCCGCCCGCCTCAGCCTCCCAAAGTGCTGGGATTACAGGCGTGGGGCATTGCGCCCGGCCTCGCGGAGCTCTTATGGATAGGGGACCAGCAGTGCAGACCACCTAGGACTTCAATAAGGGAATTATGATAGCTTCTAATTACTCAGAGCAGCCCTTAACCCCACCTATGAGTATTTTGGAAAGCTTCCTGGAGGAGGTGATTTCTGAGAATTGAAAGGTAGCGGGAGATAGACAGAGAAGTACCAGTGGGGGAAGAGTGCTCCAAGCATGGGAGTTTTTCTCATCCTCTGTCCCCAGGAAACCTCCAGAGAGTTCAAGTGGTGAAGTATACTGGTTTAAGATTGCCAGGTGAAATACAAGACACTCAGTAAATTTAAATTTCAGGTAGATAGCAATAAATACGCTTTTTTTTTTTTTTTTTTTTTTTTTTTTTTGAGACGGAGTCTCTCTCTGTCATCCAGGCTGGAGTGCAGTGGCACAATCTCGGCTCACTGCAAGCTCCGCCTCCCGTGTTCATGCCTTTCTCCTGCCTCAGCCTCCCGATTTTTTGTATTTTTAGTAGAGACGGGGTTTCACTGTGGTCTCGGTCTCCTGACCTTGTGATCCGCCCGCCTCAGCCTCCCAAAGTGCTGGGATTACAGGCGTGAGCCACCTCGCCCAGCAATAGACTTTAATGTAAGTATATCCCGTGTTGATATGGTTTGGCTGTGTCCCCACCCAAATCTCATCTTGAATTGTACTCCCATAATTCCCACATGTTGTGGGACAGACCCAGTGGGAGATAATTGAATCATGGGAGCGGTTTCCCCCATACTGTTCTCATGGTAGTGAATAAGTCTCACGAGATCTGATGGTTTTATCAGGTGTTTCTGCTTTTGCATCTTCCTCGTTTTATCTTGCTGCTGCCATATAAGAAGTGCCTTTCACCTCCCGCTGTGATTCTGAGGCCTCCCCAGCCATGTGGAACTGTAAGTCCAATTAAACCTTTTTCTTCCCAGTCTTGGGTATGTCTTTGTCAGTAGTGTGAAAACAGGCTAATACAGTAAATTGGTACCAGAAGAGTGGGTGCTACTGAAAAGATACCCACAAATGTGGATGCAACTTTGAAATTGGGTAACAGGCAGAGGTTGGAATAGTTTGGAGGGCTCAGAAGAAGACAGGAAAATGTGGGAATGTTTGGAACTTCCTAGAGACTTGTTAAATGGCTTTGACAAAAATACTGATAATATGGACAATGATATCCAGGCTGAGGTGGTCTCAGGTGGAGATGAGGAACTTTTTGGGAACTGGAGCGAAGGTGACTCTTGTTATGTTTTAGCAGACTGGCTGCATTTTGCCCCTGCCCTAGAGATTTGTGGAACTTTGAACTTGAGGGAGATGATTTAGGATATCTGGCAGAAGAAATTTCTTTTGTTGTTGTTGTTTTGAGACAGAGCCTTACTCTGTTGCCCAGGCTGGAGTGCAGTGGTGCGATCTTGGCTCACTGCAGCCTCTGCTTTCCAGGTTCAAGGGATTCTCCTGCCTCAGCCTCCTGAGTAGCTGGGACTACAGGTGCGCACCACCATGCCTGGCTAATTTTTTGTATTTTTAGTAGAAACGGGGTTTCACCATGGTAGCCAGGCTGGTCTCGAACTCCTGACCTCAGGTGATCCGCCCTCCTTGGCCTCCCAAAGTGCTGGGATTAAAGGTGTGAGCCACCACTCCCAGCCGGCAGAAGAAATTTCTAAGCAGCAAAACATTCAAGAGGTGACTTGGGGCCAGGCACGAGGCTCATGCCTGTAATCCCAGCACTTTGGGAGGCTGAGGCGGGTGGATCACGAGGTCAGAAGATCGAGACCATCCTGGCTAACACAGTGAAACCCCGTCTCTACTAAAAATACAAAAAAATTAGCCAGGTGTGGTAGCGGGTGCCTGTAGTCCCAGCTACTTGGGAGGCTGAGGCAGGAGAATGGCATGAACCTGGGAGGGGGAGCTTGCAGTGAGCCAAGATCGCACCACTGCACTCCAGCCTGGGTGACAGAGCGAGACTCTGTCTCAAAAAAAAGTGACTTGGGTGCTGTTAAAGGCATTCAGTTTTAAAAGGGAAGCAGAGCATAAAAGTTTGGAAAATTTGCAGCCTGACAATGCGATAGAAAAGAAAGTCCCATTTTCTGAGGAGAAATTCAAGCCAGCTGCAGATATTTGCATAAATAACAAGGAGCTTAAGGTTAATCCCCAAGACAATGAGGAAAATGTCTCCAGGGCATGTCAGAGAACTTTGTGGCAGCTTCTCCCATTGCAGACCCAGAGGTCTAGGAGGGAAAAAGTGGTTTTGTGGGCTGGGCCCAGGGTCCCCGTGCTGTGTGCAGCCTAGAGACTTGGTGCCCGGCATCCCAGCCACTCCAGCCATGGCTGAATGGGACCAATGTAGAGCTAGGGCCATGGCTTCAGAGGGTGCAAACCCCAAGCCTTGGCAGCTTCCACATGGCATTGAGCCTTCAAGGGGCACAGAAGTCAAGAATTGGGGTTTGGGAACCTCCGCCTAGATTTCAGATGTATGGAAACACCTGGATGCCCACACAGAAGTTTGCTGCAGGAGCAGGGCTCTTACGGAGAACCTCTGCCAAGGCAGTGTGGAAGGAGAATGTGGGGTTGGAGTCCCCACACAGTGTCCCTACTGGGGCACCACCTAGTGGAGTTGTGAGAAGAAAGCCATGGTCCTCAAGACCCCAGAATGGTAGCTCCACCAACAGCTTGCACTGTGCATCTGGAAAAGCCACATACACTCATTGCCAGCTCTTGAAAGCTGCTGGGAGGGAGGCTGTACTCTGCAAAGCCACAGGGGCAGAGCTGCCCAAGACCCTGGGAACCCACCTCTTGCATCAGCGTGACCTGGATGTGAGACCTGGAGTCAAAGGAGATCATTTTGGAGCTTTAAAATTTGACTGCCCCACTGGATTTCAGACGTGCATGGGGCCTGTAGCCCCTTTGTCTTGGCCAATTTCTCCCATTTGGAATGGCTGTATTTACCAAATACCTGTACCTCCATTGTATCTAGGAAGTAACTAGCTTGCTTTCAATTTTACAGGCTCATAGGCAGAAGGGACTTGTCTTGTCTCAGATGAGGCTTTGGACTGTGGACTTTTGGGTTAATTTTGAAATGAGTTATGACTTTGGGGGACTGTTGGGAAGGCATGATTGGTTTTGAAATGTGAGGACATGAGATTTGGAGGGGCCTGGGGGCGGAATTATATGGTTTGGCTCTGTGTCCCCACCCAAATCTCATCTTGAATTGTATCTCCTATAATTCCCATGTGTTGTGGGAGGGATCTGGTGGGAGATAATTTGAATCATGGGAGCAGTTTCCCCCTTACTGTTCTTGTGGTAGTGAATAAGTCTCATGAGATCTGATGGTTTTATCAGGGGTTTCACTTTTGCTTCTTCCTCACTTTCTCTTGCCACTACCATGTAAGAAGTGCCTTTCACCTCCCGCCATGATTCTGAGGCCTCCCCAGCCATGTGGAGCTGTAAGTCCAGTTAAACCTCTTTTTCTTCCCAGTCTTGGGTATTTCTTTATCAGCAGCATGAAAATGGACTAATACACATGTGATATTTGGGATATACTTATACCAAAAAATATTCATGGCTTATCTGAAATTCAAATTTAGCTGATTTGAAATTTAATTTAAATTTTATTTTATTTTATTTTGAGATGGAGTCTGGCTCTGTCGCCCATGCTGGAGTGCAGTGTCATGATCTTGGCTCACTGCAACCTCCACCTCCCGGGTTCAAGAGATTCTCTTGCCTCAGTCTCCTGAGTACTGGAATTACAGATGCCTGCCACCATGCCCAGCTAATTTTTGTATTTTTAGTAGAGACGGGGTTTCACCACGTTGGCCAGGCTGGTCTCAAACTGCTGACCTCGTGATCTGCCCATCTCGGCCTCCCAAAGTTCTGGGATTACAAGCATGAGCCACCACGCCTGGCCTAAACCACCACGCCTGGCCTAAACCACCACGCCCGGCCTAAATTTTATTTTAGCCTTAATCCTAATACTTTGGGAGGCCAAGGCGGGCAGATGGCTTGAGCTCAGGAGTTCAAGACCAGCCTGGGTAACATGATGGAAACCCTCTACGTGGCGGAAAGTCTCTACAAAAAATACAAAAAATTAGCTGGGCCTGGTGGTACATGCCTCTAATCCCAGCTACTCTGGAAGCTGAGGTGGGAGGAACACTTGAGTCCAAGAAGTTGAGGCTACAGTGAGTCGTGATTGTGCCCTTGTACTCCAGCCTGGGCACCAAGAGTAAGATCCTGCCAGTTACAGGCATGGTGGCTCATGCCTGTAATCCCAGCACTTTGGGAGGCCGAGGCAGGCAGATCATCTGAGGTCAGGAGTTCAAGACCAGCCTGGCCAACGTGGTGAAACCCTGTCTCTACTAAAAAATACAAAAAATTAGCTGGGCATGGTGGTACATGTCTGTAATCTCAGCTACTTGGGAGGCCGAGGTCAGAGAATCAGTTGAACCTGGGACGCTGAGGTTGCAGTGAGCTGAGACCATGCCATTGCGCTCCAGCCTGGGTAACAAGAGTGAAACTCTGTCTCAAAAAAAAGAAAAAAGAGGCCTGGTGCAGTGGCTCATGCCTGTAATCCCAGCACTTTGGGAGGCTGAGGTGGGTGGATCACAAGGTCAGGAGTTTGAGACCAGCCTGGCCAACATGGTGAAACCCCGTCTCTACTAAAAATACAAAAATTAGCCAGGCATGATGGTGCGCACCTGTAGTCCCAGCTACTCAGGAGGCTGAGGCAGGAGAATCGCTTGAACCTGGGAGGCGGAGGTTGCAGTGAACCGAGATCATGCCACTGCACTCCAGCCTGTGCGGCAGAACAAGAGTCCGTCTCAAAAAAAGAAAAAGAAAAAGAAAAAATATCATTTAAAATTTAATCTGGACTCTGTCTCCTACCAGCTTGGTGCTCACTGGGCAAGTTACCTCTCCTTCCTGAGCTACAATGTCCTCACCTGTCAACTGGGAATAATTCTGCCAGAGTCAACAAGGAGGCTAGCTGGGTTCCAGGCCAGAGAAGAGGGGCTGGGGTGGGGTGGTGGGCTGCAGAAAAGATCCTAGAGGAACTGGGAGATTGAGTTTGGATGCATGGGTGACAGCGAGAAGGAAGGGGCAAGACTAGCATTTTTACTTCTGAATGGACTAGTGGAATATGAAGGTGGCACTCCAGGGAGGGTGCTGGGAGGCTGGCAGGGTGCATGGTGAGCTTAGTTCTGGAGTTTAGCACTTCTCCAGGGCTCTCCAAGTGGAAATGTTCAGGTAATAGTTGGGGACAGAGTTAGAGGATAGCAGTTGACATATGCTGTTGGCAGACGGGGGAAGGAAGATTCCAATGGAGGGAACAGCAGGGCCTGAGGACATAGCGTTGTCTCCTCCCAGAGCCCCATCGCATGCCCCAGGTTTAACTATCGACTCAGGGAGGAGTTTGTGGGGGCAGGCGCCTGGCTGCAGCTGGCCCCCGTCCCTGGTGGTACCACCCCAGGTCTACCTCTGCTAGTCTATTACAGCCTCAGTTTTGAGCACTGGAATTCCACTTTATCTCCCCAAAGGTCACCTTGCCCAGGGCCTTGCCCTGGGGGTGGACATTCCTCACATTCCGTGGCCCTCATCAGGATGGTAGGCCCAGGTTTCCAACTATCCTCAGCCCCTCTTGGCAAGACTCGTGGAAGGCCTACTGTGGTCCCTGGGGTCTGGGCCAGGGGTCTAACCAGCCTGAGTTTAAATTCCAACTCTGCCTCCTACCAGCTGAATGATCTTTAGGCAAGCTACCTTCCTGAGCTACACCGTCCTGTCCTTACCTGCCAAGTGGAGATAGTTCTGCCAGGTTGTGTGGGGCATCTTATGGTGGAGTCTTTGAAAGCACTGAGCTCAGCGCTTGGCATTCAGTAGCTGCTCTACACTGTCGCTCCTCCTTTGCCTTCCCTCAGCCTCTATTTCCTCTATTTTTGTTTTTAGACAGGGTCGCACTCTATCACCCAGGTTGGAGTGCAGTAGTCTGATCTCCACTGACTGTAACCTCTTCAGGCTCAAGCAATCTTCCCACCTCAGCCTCCCAAGTAGCTGGGACTATAGGCATGCGCCACTATGCCCAGCTAATTTTTTGTAATTTTTTTGTAGAAACAGGGTTTCCCCATGTTGCCCAGGCTGCTCTCGAACTTCTGAGCTCAAGTGATCCGCCTGCCTCGGCCTCCCAAAGTGCTGGGATTACAAGTGTGGGCCACTGTGCCCGGCCTGTTTCCTCATTTTTAAAGGAGAATTATTAATATATTACCTCCCATGACAAGTAAGGGACTGGGCACGTGTGGGATGTGATGGCCAGGAGGTAGTTATGTGGGAGGCCCCAGGATTCTATCTTCCCCAGGGCCAGCAGAAGCTGGCTGTGGCTGGAGGCAAAGACTGAAGTGACCTCAGCTGGTCAGGCAGGACACTTGGCTACAGCCTCTGTGATATGGCTGCTGGGGAGCCATGGGCTGGCCAGAGGTCCTTGGTGGGAAAGGCTGATAGGAACAGAGGCAAGGGAGCCCATATTCCCAGGAAACTGGGCTCCTGCTCTGAACTCTATTATATAGAGATCCCCTATGCCTTCCTCCAGCCCCACCGCTCCCTACAAGGTGAGGTGTGCCCCCTTCGAGGTGAGGGGATATGCCCACCTGGGGCCCAAGCTCACCATTCTAGATCACACTTCAGGTATCTGAGATCTGGAATTCCCTGCCCCAAGGGCCCTGAGCCTGTTCCCAGGACTAGGGTCTGTCCTCCCAGTGGACTGTGCTATAGGCGTGTGCAAACCTGCACCAAGGGGTGTACAAAGGAGCTGTTTGGGGGGCAGGAAGAAATTAGCTCAGGAGCTTGGATGTGGGGGCTGGGGTCCAATGCGTGCACACAAGGACCCTTGTGGTAAGGGATGAGGCAGGTGGGAAGAGGAGGGGGAACCTGGCAGGAGGACTGCCATTTGACTTTTGTCCCAGGCTGTGATGTTAGGGGTGGGCCATCAGCTGGAGGGCCCGGTGCCAGGGGAGTCCCAGGGTGACAGTTGGAGGCTTTGATCCAATGGTGGGCAAGTCTTAACAGCAGATTTCTCAGACCATCCCTTGGAAATGCATATTCCTGATTCTTAGGAGGGATCCTGGAATTTATATGTTTAACAAGAGTGCCTTCCTTGTGCCAGAGGCCTTGCTGGGAGCTTTGTGTCCAGCATCCCATTTAATTATTACAGTAATCCTGCATGGTAGGTTCCAAGGAGGAAACTGAGGCTTGGTGAGAAGACTTGCCTAAGACCCCACACAGGTTAACGACCTCCTCGTATATACTATCTCCTTGTATCCTCCTGCCCCGCTCTGACTCCAAAACAGCCATCTAAAACCCCAAAAAGCTCAGAAACACAATGGCACACATAGAGTTTGTGTCAGAACTCCTGAATTTCTTTTGGACAGATTCCACTTGGACCCCAGGGAAAGGATATTTAGAATTCAATCAGAAGACTGGTCCTCCTCTTTTGGAGGACAGAAGTCTTCTCAGCTGGACAGCACCTCCAACCCTTGCTATACACATACAACTTCTCATCTTCCTTCCCACCCCAGACCTGCCCCTTTTCCGGCCCTGCCACCCTCCCAGTGCCCAAGCCAAGCACCTGAGCGTTCTTATCCATTGCCACATCCAATCCATAGGTCACCATTCTGCCATGTTACTTCCTTAATAGCTCCTGATTCTGTCCCCACCTTCCAGTGACTTTGCACCTGCCCTTGTTCAGGCCTTATCATCTTTCAGAAGGACCACTGGTCCTTCCAAGCCATTCCCCATATGGCAGCTAGAGTGGTCTCTGGGAAAGGAAGGGGCCACATCACACCTCTGTTCAAAACCATCCATGGCTCTTGTCCCAGGGCTCTCCTTCTAAAAGCCCAGTTCTTCTACACTCCCCAGCAACACTCAGGGGCTTTGCAAGTCTCCCTTCCCACCTACCGACCCTCCCATACTATTTTCCACCTTTGTGCCTTTGCTGATGCTGTTCCCTCTTCACCTTGGCTTCCTCAGTAACTGCCACTTCCTAAGATTCCAGCCAGCCTCCCTTGCTGCCCTAGGCTAGGTTAGGGCCCTCCACTTCTCCCTCTTGCAACACTTGCCCCTGCAGTAGTAATAATAGGTGACACTGATGGAGTGCTAACTCCATGCATTTTTCTTTATTGGCCCATTTATTCCTCCTCATAAGCATTCTCTGAGGCAGGTTCTATGGTTACCTGCATTTTTCAGATAGGTTAACAGGTTAAGGGGAATGCTTGCAGTCACACTGTTTGGGGACTGGAACCCAGGCCAGCTGCCTCCAGAAAGCTGGCTTCTAATTCCAACATGTTGCCTCCTGCCGCAGTGAGTGGGGATTTGGGGGTCTCTGCCTCCAGGGCTAGAATGTGAGATCGCGGAGGGTTGAGTGGCTTTTGCCCCACATCCTGCGGCCAGCAGCCGGCCATGGCTAGGAGAGGCGCCCGACGCCTGGCGCTCCCCGTCCGGGTCTCCGGCCGCTGCGGGGCTGTGAGGGCCCCCGGCGGTACCGGCCGGGGGTGGCCCAGCTGGGGTGGGCTTGGGGCCAGATGGGCTGCGCAGCGGCGGGGAGGCAGGGCCGGCAGGCAGGGGCCGCGCGTTGCCATGGGGACGGGGGTGGGGGCGGCAGCCCCGCCCGGGCGCAGGGGGAGCAGGTGGCGGGTCGGTGAGCAGGCTGGGGGAGGGGCCGGAAGGGGCCCGCGGGGTCGGGGCGCGCCCCCGGCTCCTCCGCCGCCTCCCAGCATAGTGACTCCGGCTGCTCCCTCCGAGATCCGGGCCCGCCGCAGAGCAAAGGGGTGGGGCCAGGACACTCAGGGGCCAGGACACTCAGGCTCCAGTCCCAGTTTAGGCTCTGATTCCCTGAGCATCTTGGGCAACTCACCACCTTCTAGCCTCAGTTTCCCCGACTGTGAATGGAGGGGTTGGACCAGGTTTCCAAGGACATTCCCAGCACACACTACTTTTTGTGGCTCTGGGGCTGGGCGGGGAGGACTCAGGGCTACGTAATTTTTCACCCTCTTCCCAGGTGAAGACTTTATTTTTTCAACAGATGACATCCACCGTTGTATCCTGAACCGGGGAATGTCAGTTGTAAGAGCCGGCAGTCTCTGTACCCACCACCTCCATTGTAGAGATGGGGCCGCAGCAGCTCAGAGACGGTGCGGACCGTGTCGATCACACAGCGCATGAGAGGGAGGGGCGGGGTGAGAAACCCGGTTTGAACCTCACAGCACCCCACCATCACCTCCTGCCTTGGAGCCGAAACCGGGTTTGGGCATGGGGGAGGGGCAGTTGCTGTGGGAAGAAAACAAACACCCCTGCGCTCCGGTCTGCAGGCGCCAGCTGCCAAGATGGCAAGGAGACTGACTGCCTGAGTGCAGACCCGAGGCAGGGGCTTCCTGTCTGCGAGGAGGCCCTGGTGGCTGTTCTCCCACTGCCCACACCCTTCTGGTCTCCATCAGTGACTGGTACAGCGCCGTGGCCCTGTTGCCAGCCTTCATAAGAGGTGTGGAGGTGGTAACCTCCCTCCACCCACCCTCACCCTAGTAAGCGGACAGCCAGGATCCCAACCAGACAGTTTTGCCCCAGTGCTGGGCCTCCTCTCTCCCCGGCCCCCCAGTTCTCAGGGGAGGCCCGGCTTTCCTGGGGAATAAAGCCCCTTTCTATTTTCTCCTCCTGGAGGACCCATTTCTGAGTTCTCAAAGCCTTGGCTATGGAGGGGGTGGTTCTGAGAGGGCTGGGCTTGCTTCTCTGCCCTCTGGCTGGAGTCGCTGGGGACAGGCTCTGCTCGGGTTCCCAGCTGAGGGTGGCGGGAGGTGGTGCTGGGGGTGGGGGATGGTAGAGGGGAGCAGGCAGAGGCAGGGTCTGTCCCTTTAAGGTACAGCTTGCTGCTGAAGCGCCACACACACACACAACCCCCACACACACACACACGCCAGTCTCTCTCTTGCACACAGCCACACATACACACACACACACTCCCAGGCTCTGTTCTCTTTCCCTCTCCGTGTCACCCTCCCTCTCCACACGCACACAACACACACACACACACTCCCAGGCTCTGTTCTCTTTCCCTCTCCCTGTCACCCTCTCTTTCCACATGCACACAACACGCGCACACACACACACACACACACACACACTCTCTCAGGCTCTGTTCTCTTTTCCTCTCCCTCTCTCCACACAGGATATACGCACTCAGCCACACACACAGAAGCATCCACACTTTTCTCCCTCTCCCTCTCCCTCTCTCCCCAAGGTCTAGTTTTGAAAAATATAGGCAAGGGGAGGAAGAGCAGGGGCAAGGAGTTCTGACCTAGAAAATGGGCCCTGCCTCCTTCTGTCCCTCCCAGGCCCGGGAAAGGGGGCTTATTTTTCCATTTGGTTTCACTGCCCTGGGTCAAGGCTGCAGGAAGAAATGGAGCCCCCCATGCAGAAGGTGGGGGTCACGCTCCTGGAGAGGGAGGGAAGGGGCTGCTGGGCTATGGGCCTAGCCTGTTGGACACAAACCCAGGAATCAGGGAGGAGCCTCCCCCTTCCTTCCCTACTCATGCAACATGGGGCTTGCTTCTAGCACAGAGGAGGAAGCAGGTTTAGGGACAAAGTAACCAGGGTAGCTTAGCCACAGAGGGATGGACCAGTTGACCTTTTGACTTGACTTATGATGAAGGGGCCCTTGACCCTTCTTAAGTCATCTTACACCTAGAGTCAAATCCTGGACTAGAATTCTTCCCAAACCCCTGGGATAAGTCCTTCCTTCTTTTTTTATTTTTATCTTTTAGAGACAGGGTCTCGCTATGTTGTCCGGGCTGGCCTTGAACTCCTGGGCTTAAGCAGCAGTCTCCCTGCCTCAGCCTCCTGAGTAGCTGGTACTACAGGTACAGCACCACCAAACCTAGCTCCTCCCTTCTTTTTAACGAACATTCTTGCTGTGGTTCCCTGTAGGGGCTGGGAGTGTACTCTCTGTGTGACTCTCAGCCTCCTCATTTCAATTTCCTCTGACCATGGTTTATTTCCTAAGCCTCGTGGCCGACTCAATGGGGAACTCCTACTAATTCTTCAAAGCCCAACTCAAAAGTGCCCTGGAAGTAGAGAGCTTTTCCTGCTTCAGCCCCTTGGGCAGAATGAGTTCCTGTTTCCTGAAGGCATCTGGGCTTTCTGTGCGTTCTGTAGCTCAAACGTTTGCATAGTTTAATAAGCAGGTGTGTACCGGACCAGTGGATGTGGTTATTCTCACAGTATCTAGTTTATCTATCAGACCCTTTCTATCTCTGTCGGGGGGATTAAGATCACTACTTAGCACACAGGAATGCTCTGGCTCAGCTAAATCAGCTAAAGACTCGGGTGAACAGTGAAACAGGATCTGAACCCACTTCTACCTGGTGTTAGATCCGGCCTTTCCCTTGCCTCTTGAAATTCTTCATAAGCACCTTCATCTACAGGGGACTTAATGGAGGAAGAAGAAAGATCGGATGGGAACTGATAGCACCACAGTGCCCACTAACTAACATGTCCCCTCGCCCTCTTCAATTCAGCAGAGCTTTTTTCTGCTTTGAAGCCTGATGAGAGCTGCTCTCCACTCTAGGGGCGTGGAAGTCCCAGATTCTCTCCTTAGGGCCTCCCAGAATCAAATGAATGAGGTTGATAATGGCCTAAGACCAGCCATCCCAGCTTGGGGCTCCTTCCTCATCTCCATTTCACAGGAGGTGTGGCCAAGGTGTTGTAACTGGCACTGAAGTTTGCTAAGGGAAATTCCATGGCAAATAGAATTGATCCCATCAGTAAATGCCCAGGGAGACACCTACCTTCTCCTGTTATTTTATTTTATTTTATTTATTTATTTTTTGAGACAGAGTCTTGCTCTGCTGCCCAGGCTGGAGTGCAGTGGCGTGATCTTGGCTCACTGCAAGCTCCACCTCCTGGGTTCACGCCATTCTCCTGCCTCAGCCTCCTGAGTAGCTGGGGCTACAGGTGCCCGCCACTATGCCCGGCTAATTTTTTGTGTTTTTAGTAGAGACGGGGTTTCACCATGTTAGCCAGGATGGTCTTGATCTCCCGACCTCATGATCCACCCGCCTTGGCCTCCCAAAGTGCTGGGATTACAGGCGTGAGCCACCATGTCCGGCATCTCCCGTTTTTTAAAAAAGATAAACAGCACCTAGACTCTTAGGCAGTTTCCTAGAAAAATAGTGATGTTAAAACTGAAGAGTCATAGGCGCTTAGGATCCCACCTAGGACTTCCCCAAAACCCGGTCATTTGTACCCCATCCATGACTTTTGCCATATCTGCTTACCTCACTTCCTGTTTTTCTTTAAATTAACTCACTTTGCCAAGCTTCAATAAGGAAACTCTATCAGTATTCTAAATGGAAAACCAGTATTGCTTTCCAGAAACAGAAGGTAAATATAAAATAATTGCAATGAAAACGAACCAATGCTGGCTTAGATACTCTTGCTTGCTGGGAGATCTCTCTCTTCTATAAAGGGAGATTCACAGGTGTTAGAAAGGCGTTAGAGACCTACCAGCCCCAATCTGAGCCTTTTTCTTTCTCCCAGACTTAATCAGAAGGAAGAATTGAAAAGGAATTTCCCTTCTCTTCTCTTCTCTTTCTTGAGACAGAGTCTTGTTCTGGTGCCCAGGCTGGAGTGCAATGGTGTGATCTCGGCTCACTGCAACCTCCACCTCCTGGGTTCAAGTGATTCTCCTGCCTCAGCCTCCCAAGTGCTGGGATTACAGGCGCCTGCCACCACACCCAGCTATTTTTTGTATTTTTAGTAGAGAAGGTGTTTCGCCATGTTGGCCAGGCTGGTCTCGAACTCCTGACCTCAGGTGATCACCTGCCTCGGCCTCCCAAAGTGCTGGGATTACAGATGTGAGCCACCGTGCCTGGCCGAAAAGAAATAACTTTCAAGAAGATGAGACTGAGATTCCATTTTTGTGTGGCCAGGCCTGTGGACTCCCTGACCTCATCCCTCATCCCGCTGGATGTACCTGTCCCACACTTTGGGAGACACTGCCTCAGCCTAAGCCCTTTGGTCCAGAGAGAGGAGAAGTACCCAAGGCCGTTCATCAAAGGAGGAGCCAACTCAGGAATGTCTGACAGAGGGTGGGTCCAGCAGAGAGCTGAGGGGCCTGGCACTGGGAGCAAGCACTGGGCTGTGCGTCACCGAGTGCCAGCTCTGCTTTCCTACATAGATGTCCTTGAACAAGTCCCAACATCCCTCAGAGTCGCAGCTGTAGGGTAGGATGAGCTGTTGTTCTTGAGAACTCCTCCAGGCCAAGCTCCAGTTCTGTGTTACTTGATTACTCCTGAGGAGATAGGAACCCCTCCAGACCTCCCTATAGCTGGCAGGGCAGAGTCCTGACTCCCTTGCAAGACACACAAGCCCATCCCCATCCCACACCGGACTCTGCCATGGTCTGGCCCCTGCCTACTCCTCCAGCATGAACGCTTTCAATCCAGCACGGCAATCTGGTGAGCACGGTGCCTAGAACATCACAGGCATGCCATCACCATTCGGGGGAATGAATCAATCAATGAATACTTTGCTACATGCTCCATGCTGCCTGGTCTCTGCATCAGCTGTTCCCTTTGCTTGGAATGCCCTTTCTCCCTTTCTTGGTCTCCAAGCTGTTATTCATCTCTTAAAACCCTGCTTAGATGCACCCTTCTTCTAAGAAGCTTTCCCTGAAATTTCCCAGAAGAGCTAATCACCCATTAATTCAACAAATATCTGTTGAGTGCTTATCATATGCCAGGCATGATGCTAGGTGCTGAGGAGACAAGAGTGAGCAGGACAGACAACAAGAGTTCTTCTCTCTTCAAGCTTCTATTCTCGAAGCTTCCCAGCATCCAGCTCTGGTGGCACCGTAGCAGTTATTTGTGCTCCTAGATTGTACAGGAGCTCCCAGCTTCAGAAAACTTGGTGCCCCAGCGCATGGCCCTCAGTTTGACAAGCTGGGTTGCATTGTCAACCACCAGACAGCCTTCCCCACCCCCAGAACTGGGATTTATGGAGCAATGTGAGCAGGAGCAGAAGCAGTGCTGGCCACCATTTGCTGAGCCCCTGAGAGCCCACTGTGTGCCAGGAACCTGACCTACATTCTCCACCGCCCTGACAGTACACTGTAAGTCGGTGACCGTGAACTGGGACTCCACCCTGGCTCTGCAAGCCACACTTCTTCCCAGCGGCCCCCCAGCCCTATGGGAGCCTCTTCCCAAGGCTGAGGCCAGATTCCAGGAGCCTCCTCATTTTTAGTCCTGCTCTGTGAACCCCCATCCCCCCAGCACTGGCCTGGCTTCCTGGAATTTGTCCTCCTAATTGAAACCAAACACCGGGGCTCCTCAAGGGCTGTGCCCCAGAGGCCCGGTGGGTTTCTCTTTTCCTCCCTCCTCCCTTCCCCAGCTGGGGGTGGGGTGCTCAACCATAGGCAGCATGTGGGGAGGGGCACTTCCCCTGCAGAGTGTGGCGTGAGGCGCACTCCCTGCCTCTGGGTTCTGAGTTAATCTCTGCCTTCTCACAGGCTGAAGAACTAGAGACTAAGCTTGTCCAACCCGTGGCCCATGGACCACATGTGGTCCAGGGCAGCTTTGAATACAGCCCAACATAAATTTGTAAACTTTTTAAAAACATTATGAGATTTATTTTTGCATTTATGTATTTATGTATGTATATATTTATTTATTTTTGTAGCTCATCAGCTGTCATTAGTGTTAATGTATTTTATGTGTGGCCCAAGACAATTATTATTCTTCCAGTGTGGCCCAGGGAAGCCAAAAGATTAGACAACCCCAGTATAGATGAAGGGCAAGGCAGCAAAGGAGGGGAAGAGAGTGGGAGTGGTCTGGTCAACCAGGATCGCCCTAGAAAACCTAGGACTGGCCCTGTCTCAGGCTGAAGGCCTGGGAACTGGAGGATGGATTTGTGAAGGTCCATTCCCCTGAGACGGACTGTGTGAGCTTGGGCAAGTCACTTCACTTCCCTGAGCCTCAGGTACAAAAATGGGGATATGTGGAATCTATCTCACAGGATTATAGAGAAGTTTAAACAAGATAACCCACATAAGTGTCATGTGGTCTGTGGTTGGTGCTCAAAAAAGGAAACCCAGCCACCATCACTCTTACCCACAGAAAAATGGGTCAGTAACCTTGGCAGAAGGGTCTGTAACATTGGAGTTGTGGAAGGACCTACTTGGAAAAGACACTCAGGGCCAATAAATGTTTGTTGAATGAAGAAATTCACTCAACTTTCAATAAACATTTACTGAGCTGAGGGTCTCTTCTGCTCCAAGCCCTGGGACACAGCATGAGGAAGCAAGGCAGGCGTTGCCCTCAAGGCCGAGTCTGGGCAGGGAGGGGCGGATGGACACACCCTTTAAAGGCGGTGGCAACTCAGACTGATCAGTGCTGTGGCAGGGAAGTAGAGGGGGTTGGGGGGCTCCCAGGAGGGCCTGACCAGGCTGGGCAGAGACAGGGTGGTCAAGGACAGCCTTCCAGAGAAAGTGATGGGGTGACAGTTGAGCCTGACCTTCCCTGATGCACTCACTTCAACCAGTACTTGTCATTCTGTGCCACTTGGACTCAGGTACTGCCTGAGGCATTCAACTATGCTAGGAAGGCTGAACTGACCAGCATGGGAAGGAGGTAGCTGCCCACCCTTCCCTCCCCCGCCCCACCCGTGCCTCCAACACTCTTGTTTCTCACCATGCCATCAATGCTCCTCTCACGCGGCAACCATTACACCTACTTGTTTGCATGTCTGTGCTGCTCACAGCACTGTCCCATAGCATATAATGCAAGTCACAATGGGAACCACATCTGTCATGTTAATTTTTGTTTATTTAGAGATGGAGTCTCGCTCTGTCTCCCAGGCTGGAGTGCAGTGGCATGATCTCGGCTCACTGCAACCTCCGCCTCCCAGGTTCAAGCGATTCTTCTGCCTCAGCTTCCCAAGTAGCTGGAATTACAGGCGTCCACCACCATGCCCGGCAATTTTTTGTATTTTTAGTAGAGACGGGGTTTCACGATGTTGGCCAGGCTGGTCTCGAACTTCTGACCCCAACATCCCAAAGTGCTGGGATTACAGGCGTGAGCCACTGCACCTCTCCGTCGTCTGTCATTTTTAATTCCCTAGTAGCTATATTTTAAAAATAAACAGGTGAAATTACTTTTTTTTTTTTTCGAGACAGGGTCTCACTCTGTTACCCAGGCTGGAGTGCAATGGCACCATCACAGCTACTGCAGCCTTGAACTCCCAGGCTCAGGTAATCCTCCCACCTCAGCCTCCCAAGGTGGGACTACAGGTGTGCACAACCAGGCCCAGCTAATTTTATTTTTTTTGAGACGGAGTCTTGCTCTGTCGCCCAGGCTGGAGTGCAGTGGCATGATCTAGGCTCACTGCAACCTCTGCCTCCAGGGTTCAAGCGATTCTCCTTGTACTTTTAGTAGAGACAGGGTTTCACCATGTTGGTCAGGCTGGTCTCGAACTCCTGACCTCGTGATCCACCCGCCTTGGCCTCCCAAAGTGCTGGGATTACAGGTGTGAGCCATCATGCCCGGCCTCAGGCCCAGCCAATTTTTATATTGTGTGTAAAGATGGGGTTTTGCCCAGTTGCCCAGGCTGATCTCGGACTTCTGAACTTCAAGAGATCCACTTGCCTCAGCCTCCCAAAGTGCTGAGGTTATAGGTGTGAGCCACCATGCCCAGCCCTTGAAATTACTTTTAGTAAGTTATATTAAACTCAATATATCCAAAATATCATAAACATGTAATCAATAATAATAATAACTTCTTTACATTTTTGAGACAAGGTCACTGAGGCTGGAGTACAGTGGCATGATCACAGCTCACTGCAGCCTCATCCTCCTAGCAACCCTCTCGCCTCAGCCTCCCGAGTAGCTGGGACAACAGGTGTGCACCACCACACCTGGGTAATTTTTTATTTTTTGTAGAGATAGAGTCTCACTATGTTGCCCAGGATGGTCTTGAACTCCTGGCCTCAAGCCACTCTCCCACCTTGGCCTCCCAAAGTGCTGGGATAATGGGTGTCAGCCACCATGCCCGGCCTAATATAAAGAAACTATGGGCCAGCTGCGGTGGCTCATGCCTGTAATACCAGCACTTTGGGAGGCCGAGGCGGGTGGATCATCTGAGGTTGGGAGTTCGACACCAGCCTGGCCAACGTGGAGAAACCCCGTCTCTACTAAAAATACAAAATTAGCCAGGCGTGGTAGCACATGCCTGTAATCCCAGCTACTCGGGAGGCCGAGGCGGGAGAATCACTTGAACCCAGGAGGTGGAGGTTGCAGTGAGTCGAGATTGCGCCACTGCACTTCAGCCTGGGAAACAAGAGCAAAATTCCGTCTCAAAAAAAAAAAGAAAAAAAAAGAAACTATGAACAAATTAATTTACATTTTTTGGTACTAAGTCTTTCAAACTCTGGCACGTAGTTTACACTCATAGCACCTCGATTTGGATTGGCTGCATGTTGTGGGCTCATTGGCCACATGTGGCAAGTGGTTGCCATACTGGATAGTGCAGCTCTAGAAAATGGGCTCTTCTTGGTCAGGGACTCTATTTTTCATCTCTCTCTTTAGTGACTAGAAGGGTGTCCTAGGTAGAGGACACAGCATTTGCAGAAACAGAGGCATGAAAGAACAGAGAATATTCAGGGAACAACACGCTGTTTGGTGTGGCCGGCGTGTAAGGTAAATCGGTGGGGAGAAGTGAGCTGTGGGGCTGCATATGTGCCTGGAGCCAGGTGAAGAAAGGCCAAAGGAATTTGGACTTCGGTTATGTGGGCAACTCAGGTCATCGTTTATTTATAAGCAGAGGCATGTTGCATTCAGGTTAAGGCTTCAGAAAGAGACTTCTGGTAGGCAGCCTGGAGGGTAATTTGGAAGGGATAGTGAGGAGGCAAGGGGACCGGCTAGAAAGCTGATGTAACAATATACGTAGGTGAGGAGTGATGAGGCAGCGGGGAATGCCTGGAGAGGGAGTAAGAAGGCAGAACCTCAGGACTTGGAGACTGGCTGCCTGGAGGTGGAGTGGGAAGTCAAGAATAACTCCCAAGTTTCTAGCTCGTGGTGCCAGTTTTCCGAGCCAGGACACATAGGAGGAAGGGGAGGAGGAGCAGGTCTGATGAGGACATGAAGAGTTCCATCTTGGTAAATGCCGACTTTGAGATATTAGCAAGACATCTTGGTGGATACCAGCAGCAGTGGTTAGGATAGACTGTGCTAGAGTTCATAGACGGTAAGGGAGCTCTCTGTCACTTGTGGTATTCAAGCAGTGGCTGGACACACACTAGCCTGGGATGTTGTAGAGGGCCTTTGTGTATCTCAGGTGAGCTGGGCCCCGTGATTTCTCAGCCTGGACAGTTTCTGACCCTAAGGTTTTGCTGCATGTGTGTGTGGGATGCTCTCTATCAGAGCTTGAGCATGTCTATAATTTGGAGACCTCTGTGGTCTAGAGGTGGTTTGTTTTTTTGGACCTTAGCTCACAACTGGAACAGGCATGACGGCTGCACGGGGGCAGAGGCTCCACCTCAACCGGCCACAAGGCACAATCGCCCCACGGTCCTGTTGGACACATATCTAAGAACCACAGAACATGAGAGATCCTTGATCTTCAAATAGCCTTCCTCCACCCCATTTTTTTTTTTTTTTTTTTTTTTGAGACGGAGTCTCACTCTGTGGCCCAGGCTGGAGTGCAGTGGCGCAGTCTTGGCTCACTGCAAGCTCCGCCTCCTGGGTTCACGCCATTCTCAGCCTCCCAAGTTGCTGGGACTACAGGTGCCCGCCACCATGCCCCGCTAATTTTTTGTATTTTTAGTAGAGACGGTGTTTCACCATGTTAGCCAGGATGGTCTCGATCTCCTGACCTCATGATCCGCCCACCTCGGCCTCCCAAAGTGCTGGGATTACAGGCGTGAGCCACTGCGCCCAGCCTTCCTCCACCCCAGTTTGATTTGTGGGCAGACTGAGGTCCTTGCTCAAGGTCACAGAACAGGGCATGGCTTCTCTGAGAGGTGGGTTCATGCTAGATCCTGGTACCATCCTCACACCCCAGGGACCTCTAGTGTCTGCCTCTCCTTAGCACAAGAGATGTTCTTTAACACACATGGAAAGAGATCTTAATTCTTTTTAATTAGGAGGATACAAAGGGAGAAGTCAGGAGACTGCCCCCACCCACGGTTGGGAGACTAAGTGCTCCCCAGATTACACAGCAGATGCCAGGGCTCCAGCAACAAGACCCAGCTTGATAGCTTTGTGGTAACCACAGCCAGCACAATTTTATTTTATGTTTTAACTCCTCAGTGATATATAGACCTCTCACAGGCAGGAGAAATGGCATCCAGAACTTCTCCCTTTAAAAAAAAATTATTTTTGAACTTGCGCAACACACGCCCAGTTTAATTAACCCTTTTGTCAGGAAGCTTGGTCTGCCCCAGGCAGTGTGAGAAAACTGTTTCTGCTCTGTGCGGTGGGAGTAGTACAAAAAACGTGTGCCAGCTTGGGCACTGCCTTGACCTGGGACCCGTGGCTGCCCCCGAGCCTCTGCACCCTCTGGGTCTTCACTGGACAAATCACTCTATGGGCAGTTTTATGTGCCTCCTCTGGGGTCTCTATTTTTTTCTGCTTTTAAAATTTCAGCCTCAGTTGCACCACTGGCACCCCAGCCTGGGTGACAGAGTGAGACTCTGTCTCAAAAAAAAAAAAAAAAGGTCAGCCTCCGGTGCCGGAGTGCCTGTTCTATAGGAGACTCTGCATCGCATCTCTGCACCCCTTAATCCCTATTCCCACACAGCCTTGCTATTCATAACTGGAACCACAATGTATGTTTCTTTCTCTCTCTCTCTCTTTTTTTTTTTTTTGACAGAGTCTGGCTCTGTCGCCCAGGCTGGAGTGCAATGGCACAGTCTCTGCTCACTGCAAGCTCCGCCTCCCGGGTTCAAGCGATTCTCCTGCCTCAGCCTCCCAAGTAGCTGGGATTACAGGTGCCCCCACCACGCCCAGCTAATTTTTTTTTTTTTTTTTTTTTTTGTATTTTTAGTAGAGACAGGGTTTCGCCATGTTGGCCAGGCTGGTCTACAACTTCTGACCTCAGGTGATCCCCCTGCCTCAGCCTCCCAAAGTGCTGGGATTATAGGTGTGAGCCACTGCACCCGCCTGGCAACCACAATGTTTCAAAACAAAGCTCACTTCTGATCCCTTCCCACTCCCTCATCTGCATGTACTAAAGGGACTGAGGAGCCCCCACCCCACCACACCCCACCTCACCATCTCTGTGTCCATTCCTCCCTGGCCACACTAACTCTGCTTAACGTTGCTGGTATTACTGCACCTCTCTCTGCCCTCTGGTCTCTTTGCTTTTTAACACTCAGCTCTGTTCTGTCACTTCTTTGGCCAGAAAGCTTCAGGTCCCCCACTCCCCAAATTGTCTGAGGGATAAAAAGCCCCAGCTTCTGCCCCTCCTAGGCCTGGGTCCCAAGACCTAGCCTATTCCTAACCCCTTTATGTTTTCCACACTCCATTCATTCAATGTGCAAATATTTGTTGAGCCCTTACTATGTGCCAGGAATTATGTTGGGCATTCAGGAGATTGTTGATGCACAAATGCACAGAAACCAAGTGTGTTTTGAGAGCTCAGGGGTTCAGGGGCTCTGAGGAGGGGCACCGAATTGAGAGAGGGACTGGGCTGCCGCCAGCTCTCTTCTCACTGGTTTCCTGTTTACCATTAGCGGCTGCCCATCCCTCCTTAGCGCACAAATGCCCAAGTGAACCTTGGTATGTTTTCAGACCCGCAGCTCAATCACAAGCATGAAGCAGGCGAATTGAAATCCATCTTTAGCTGCCTTGAAAACCTGCACAGGACCCCCTTTAGATTCTCCCTGCCCACGCTCTCCCCAAGTTCTGTCTTCCTCTCCCCGTTTTGAGGACATATGGCCCCTTGAAGTTTTTGTTTGCTTGCAGTAGGGGAAAAACAGCTTTAAGTGTAGAGGGTTTTTCCTTTTTTTTTTTTTTATTAAGCATCAAGAGACACAGCAATCTGCTTGGAGATAGTGTACGTGCATAATTAATAAAATCGCATTATTTATTTATAAAGAGACACACGAGGAACGGGAGAATTAGGGCTATCCCCATTATATATGAAGAGAGGGAGAGAGAGTGGAGAGGCAAAAATACTTTTTGAACATTAGATCCTTTCAGAGAAGTGTCTTTTAATATGCAGTGAATAAAACGGCCTGTACTCCTCATGGAAGTGGTGCCCTGTGCCCAGAAGGCATCAGAAAGCAGAAACCTGGTTCAGGGGCTTAAAAAAGGAACGGGATCGATGTGGCGCTCGCAGTGCCCAGCATGCCGGCGTTGGGTAGTTGGCAGGAGAGCAAGAGAGAGAGGAGGCGCGGTTGAGGGTTTGGCCGCTGGGAAAGAGGATTGAGAGCCAGTCCGGGGTTTCCAAAAGAGAGGGACTTGGGGCACAGAATCTCTGGCAGGTGGGGGAGAAACGGCTACCGTCACCCCACTGGGCACCGCATGAATAACCCAGATGTCGGCGAAGGGGAGCCCCTGGTTTCGATGAGCCCACTGCAAGCCAGATCCCATGAACTTGGTGGTGAGGGGGTTTTAGATAGCAGCTTTGCCCTTGGACCTCTGCATCCCGGATGCCCGGGCAAGACCGCCAATATCAATAACCCAACTTATTATATAACAGCCTCGGAGACCGGGAAGCAGGGGTCAGGTCCTCCCAAGCTTCTAGAGCTGTCGGTGGACCTTCTCTCTCCTTGTCTCTCTCCCTCTGATTTTTCTTGAGACAAGCTTTAAAATGGAAAACAGGCTTGTGCAGGAACCAAACACACAGACAGGGGGTGGTTTGTAGGGATTTTTCCCCCCACCTCCCTCGAGGACAAGCAACTCTTGCAGCGCCACTCTCGGCCTTCGCCGGGCTGTAGGCTCGGCGCCTGGGGCGGCGCTGGGGGGGCGGTGTCGGCCCGGGCAGCAGCCTCCGCAGGGTTACCCGGGCGCGTGCAGGGAAACGTCTCAGCAATTCCAGCGCCCGAGCGGAGCGCGCGGTGGGGGTGGGGGCGCGCGGCGCGGGGCACCTTGAAACCGCCGGCGGCCGCGCGCTGATTGGCCGAGCCGCCGCCTCGGCGTTCCAGCCAGGCGCCCCTCCCCCCGCGCCGTCCACCCCGGAAGGAATTTCCTCCTCTGGCGGCCGCTATTGTTGTCCACCTTCGCTGTTTGGGTCGGATCGCGTAACCATAGTATCCAAACCGTGTCCGCGCGGGGCCCCAGCCTGGGACCCCTGTGCCCTCACCCCCCCAGCCTACCCCCCACTTTTTTTTTTCTTTTTGCAGCCTACTTATCATGACTTCATCGGACTCCGGGGAGCGGGAAAGGGGGTTGGGGCGGGGGGGCGGGGAGTGGGCCCGCTTCTGGCGGCCCTTACTTCGAGATGTTTTCAATTACAATTTTTTAAAAAGTCTGCTTTGTGGGTTCAGGGCTTAAAAATTCTTCCTACTTGCCCCCCTCCCCATGAAACCGTTGGACCAAACTTGAATGGGGGTTTCCTTCTTTTCCCCTTTACCGTCTATGCTCCAGCCCCTGACTTTACGGCTCACGGCTGGGGGTGGGGGAAATTCGCAGCAGGAGTCGCCCCCCTCAAACGCTACCCTTCAGATCATGGCTGTGTCCTGGCCCCTGGGCCTGGGTTTGAGCTGGGGAAGCGAGGCTGGTGGTGGGGTGGAAACATCACGCACTGCAGTACCCCCCACCCCGGGGCGCTTCCTGGCGGGGTTGGGGGATCCCCGGAGATGGATCTGGGGTAGGTGGTACGGGGTGGATGCCCATCAAATATCGGGGAGGGGTGACGGGGATAAAGGGGAGACGGGGGAAGCAGCTGACAGGTTATTGGAAGAACAAGCCCCCTCGCCCCTCGAATTTCTCCCACGGGTCTCTGAGCTCAGACATCCTAGTCCGCGCAGGCAGCCCGAGCCGAATGCCTGCTCCCAACCCCGGCCAAAAAAAAAAAAAAAAACCAACCCCAAACAAAAACCCTGTGCCCAGAATTGCATTCGGCTGGGAGAGGTGGGGATCCAGCAGCAAGTCCGCACCGAGCCGGCTGCGCGCAGCGCGGGAGCCCCCGGGCTGGGGCCGGCAGCGGGGGGCGGTGTGTGTGCGGGGGGGTGTCCAACATTCCCAGAACTCAAGTATTCTCCCGGCGCTGAGCCGGGCGGGGGCAGTGGCGGCCGCGGCCCAAGTTCGGGGCAACACTGCCCCCTAGGGGCCGCCGCCGGAGGTTTGCAGCTGGGGCGGCGAGGGGTCTGGAGGTTTGGGTCTAGCCCTGGGACCAGGGACTTGACTTTGGCCCTCAGTGTTTCACCGGCCAGCGGAGCCGGGGAGTTACCTGGGCAGGGCTACCGTGACCCCCTGGCAGACCAGTGACAGGCTAGAGGAGAGCCTTCAAGTGCCAATTTAGGGAGCTGGGGAGATATAGTAGTAGGGTTTGTATTTTTGCTCTAGAATTTAAAACTTCGGCAGACAGTTTCCCATAGGCTCTCAGTGATGGATGGGAACTTAAGATCATTGACTGAGTCCCCTCATTGTGCAGTTGGGGAAGCTGAGGCTCAGAGAGGGGAATGATTTTCTCAGGGATATGAGATTTGAATCTAGTCCTCCTGGTTGTCATCTGGGGCCCCGTGGATTTTTTGGGCTCACGGAGTCCTCTGATTCCTCTGACACTGATGCCTTCCTGTCAGAGAGGCATCACCGCTCTCATTTTACAAACGAGAAATCAGAGAGGTCTGGACTTGCTCAGTCAGCCCTTTTTTTCCCCCAGCCCTCTAGACCATAGGGACTTGGGGGACTTGAACCTTAGGGTCAATTAGCAGGCCAGCTTTCTGCTCTGGGGCCCTGTGGTATTCTACAGTCATCCCTGCCAGAGCCGGGTTAAGGTGGCTGCTCCAGGCTGGTGGCGGGGCAGGGGTAATCCAACAGCAGGGTTGAGTTTGCTGAAATCTGGGCTCTTGGCCTCTAAACAGCTGCCATCTCCGGGCCTCAGTTTCCCCATTTCTAGAATAGTTGGTAGCAAGAGGATGGAGAAGGCGTCTGGCAACTCCCAATGGGTGGTGACACAGTACGGCCCCGCCTTCCTGGTCTGCCACGCCCTCTCCTCTCCTTCCCTTCTAGGTTGGGGTCTGCAGGCTGGCTTCCTCCCGCCTTCCCTTCCTCCCTCCCTGCAGGGCTCCTGCAGCCGCCCCTCCCTCCCTCCCTCCCTCCCCTCCCCTCCCCTCCCCTCCTGGCAGGCGCAGAGCTGACTGCGGGAGGGAGCCATAGGCACGGAGCCAGCAGAGCGTCAAGTCAACCCCTGGGGAAGACGGGGTTGGGGCGCTGCTGGCTGCTGCTGAGGCGCTGTCAGAGGCTGCAGCTCTGCGCTGGCAGGGGCAGAGTCCGTAGGGGTTATTTGTGTCCAAGGTAACTGGTGTCCGAGCTTGCTGCTAGCATCCTCCCTGTCCCTAGAGACCAGGGGAACTGCTCTGGGAGTCATCTGGAGTCCTCCCTCTCCCTCACTGCCCACGAGCACTCAGGCACCAAGTCTGGGCCTTTCTCCCCTTAAATATCTCTCATCCCGTTTCCTCAGCCACTGTCCCCTGATCTCCCAGGGACTCTAAACTGTCCCCTCAAGGCCTTCCTCCAACACTGTCTGGGAACCTCTCCTGTGAAGCCCGGCCTGGCCCTGCCTCCTGCTGCCCTCATGGCCAACCCTCTGGCACCTGGACCTGCCTGCCTCTGCAGCCTTATTTGGAGTCTCTCCCTGACACAGATTTTCTGTCTTGGTGACATTGCATGTGACTTCTGGAGCCTGCCACGCTCCCTGGGCTCACACAGGTCATCGGTCAGGTCCTGCCCGGCTTTGGGGAGACTGAGGTGGATAACTCCAGCCCTTCTCTGCAAACAGCCCACAGACCTGTCGGGGAGACCCTTAGCCTGGTCACGGAATGATTATTGGCAGAATGGGGTTTTAAGAGGACTCTTACCCACCCTGGGGGGAAATCAAGGAAGACTTCCTGCAGGAGAGGGGGCTTGTGCTGAGTGCAGAGAGAGGAGTAGAGGTAAATGGGGAAGACTCCAGGGAGAGGGAGCTTGGTGGGTAGGCACAGTCCTGAGAGAGCATGACTCCTAGGGCAGTGATAAGACAGTGTAGCTGAGGTGTAGAGAGAGATGAAGCTGGAGGGAGGCGGGTCCAGGTGGTCCCTGTGTGTTGGCTTAGAGCACTGGGACTTCCATGTGCAGGTCACCGGGAGCCACAGAGGGCCCTGAGCCCTGGGCTGGACTGCATGTTGGGAACACTCTCCCTCTTGAAACCAGTTCCTGGGGATGCAGAAGTGACTTTTTTTTTTTTTTTTGAGACGGAGTCTTGCTCTGTTGCACAGGCTGGAGTGCACTGGCACGATGATTTCAGCTCACTGTAACCTCTGCCTCCTGGGCTCAAGCGATTCTCCTGCCTCAGCCTCCTGAGTAGCTGGGACAAAGGCGCCCGCCACCATGCCTGGCTAATTTTTTTTTTTTTGGAGATGGTGTTTCACTCTTGTTGCCCAGGCTGGACTGCAGTGGCACGATCTTGGCTCACTGCAACCTCCGCCTCCCGGGTTCAAGTGATTCTCCTGCCTTAGCCTCCCAAATAGCTGGGATTACAGGCACTGCCACCACACCCAGCTAATTTTTTTTTTTTTTTTTTTTTTTTTGAGACAGAGTTTCGCTCTGTTAGCAGGCTGGAGTGCAGTGGCGTGGTCGCAGGTCACTGCAGCCTCTGCCTCCCAGGTTCAAGCGATTCTCCTGCCTCAGCCTCCCAAGTAGCTGGGACTATAGGCACACGCCACCACGCCCAGCTAATTTTTGTATTTTTAGTAGAGACAGGGTTTCACCATGTTGGCCAGGAGGGTCTAGTCTCCTGACCTCGTGATCTGCCCACCTCGACCTCCCAAAATGCTGGGATTACAGGCGTGAGCCACTGCGCCTGGCCTGTATATATATATATATATATATATATATATATTTTTTTTTTTTTTTTTTTTTTTTTGAGACAGAGTTTCACTCTTGTTGCCCAGGCTGGAGTGCAATGGCACGATCTCAGCTCACCACAACCTCCGCCTCCCGGGTTCAAGTGATTCTCCTGCCTCAGCCTCCTGAGTAGCTGGGATTACAGGCATGTGCTACCACGCCCAGCTAATTTTGTATCTTTAGTAGAGATGGGGTTTCTCCCTGTTGGTCAGGCTGGTCTTGAACTCCCGACCTCAGGTGATCCACCCTCCTTGGCCTCCCAAAGTGCTGGGATTACAGGCGTGAGCCACTGTGCTGGGCCTTTAATTTTTGTATTTTTAGTGGAGACAGGGTTTCACCATGTTGCCCAGGCTGGGCTTGAACTCCTGACCGCAAGCAATCCGCTCGCCTCGGCCTCCCAAAATGCTGGGATTATAGGTATGAGCCACCACGCCCCACCCAGAAATGATCCCAGCCTATCTTCTTATTTCCTGCCTCATTCCAGAAAGGAGCTACAAGGGCACCAAAGAAGAATCAGATCTGGTTCTTGCCTTCAAGGAGCTCGCAGACGGGGGTAGGTAAAGAATAAAGTGGCTCAAGGCAAAATGAAGAAAGCACAGAGAGAACTTTCTAAAAGATGTACCTGGGTCGGGTGTGGTGGCGCATGCTGGTAATCCCAGCACTTTGGGAGGCTGAGGTGGGAGGATTACTTGATGCCAGGATTTTGAGACCAGCCTGGGCAACATAGTGAAACATTGTCTCTACAACAATAAAAATAAAAAAGAAAATAGAAGACATACCTGGAAGCCCTGTTAATCCCTCCTTTAAATCTCTTCTTTGGGACGAGTGCAGTGGCTCACACCTGTAATCCCAACACTTTGGGAGGCTGAGGTGGGTGGATCACCTGAGATCAGGAGTTTGAGATCAGTCTGGCCAACATGATGAAACCTCGTCTCTACTAAAAATACAGAAATTTGCCAGGCATGGTGGTGCACGCTTGTAATCCCAGCACTTGGGAGGCTGAAGCAGGAGAACTGCTTGAACCCGGGAGGCAGAGGTTGCAGTGAGCTGAGATTGCACCACTGAACTCCAGCCTGGGGGACAGAGTAAGACTGTCTCAAAAAAAAAAAAAAAGAAAAAAAAATCTTCTTTGGCTCCTGTCTGCTCCGGTGGCTGTTCCATCTCCTCTCAGTCGCACCCCTCTCATTCCCTTTACTCCAGCCAATTGAGTTATTTGCAGTTCCCCCAATATACCACATTCCCTCTACCCAGCAGGTCTGTGGCTAATATTGTTTGCTTTGCCTTGGATTCTGTTCTCCAGGCCTCTTGCCCTTTCTTCATTCAACTGTGGCTCTTTCAAGGTGCCACTTAAGGCATCGCTGCCTTCAGGAAGCCCTCCTTGATGCCCAAATTTGGGTTTGGTTCCTCCTTTGAACTACCATTGTCCCTTGTGCTTCCTTTGATCATAGCACCCATCCTAACATAGTTTAATCATCCTCAGGAGATTGGCAGCCTCCATCTCTGACTCACCCTGGGTCTCCTGCAGATCATACATGCCTGGGCTCAGAGTAGATGCTCAGTTTTTTTGTTGTTGTTGAAGACTGTGCATAAGCTGCTGCGAATAGTAATAATAATAATAGTAACAGACATTTATTTACTGCTTGCTGTGTGCCAGGCACTGTGCTAGCCACTTGTCATATGTTGTTTTTCCTCCTTATTTTTTTTAGAGATGAGGTCTCGCTGTGTTGCCCAGGCTGGTCTCTAACTCCTGAGCTCAAGCAATCCTCCTGACTTGGCCTCCCAAAGTGGTGGGATTACAGGCATGAGCCACTGTGCCCAGCTGGTTTTCCTCTTTTACAACAACCCTATATGGTTGATAATATCCCATTTTGTAGATGGGGAAACTGCAACTAAGACAGGGAAAATGACTGTCAAAATGACAAAGGTATTTGTCAAAACTCATTGAATTATCTGAAGTTAAGATCTATGGATGTAAATTACACCTCAATTTTTAAAAAGAAAAAAAGCCAAGAGAGCAACTAAAGTGTATAATATTCCTTATGTCTGAAAAAACACTGAGAAATAGTTATTTTGTTATTACAAACCAAAAAAAAAAAGAAGCACAGTTGGTGAGTGGCAGGCCAGAACTTGACACATGTAGCCTGTCTCTAAAGCCCTTGTTGGCCAGACCTGATTCTAGTCCCCTGTGCCATCTGGAGGGCCCAAGGAGGCTTCCCAAGGAAATGTGGTCCTTACAGGATGTGGGGGGCCATCATGCTGAGAGAAGGCATTCAAGGAAGGTGTGAAAGTCCATGGCATGTCAAGGCCAGAAGCTTAGTCTGACATGGTGTCATCGTTAGAAGCATGAAGGGGAATAGTGGTGAGGTGAGACTGCCCAGATCAGCTGAGTCCAGTTGTGGAGGGCACTGAACGCTCAGATAGAGTTGGAATTAGTGTCCAGAGCCAATGGCTTCCATAGAGCACTGACCTGAGCTGGTTTTAGAGGAATTGGTGCTTTAGGGGTGGAGGGTGCTGGTTGCTGGCCAGTATTTGTTGGTCTGGATTTGGAGGGGCCAGAGCTGAAGGTGGGGGGCAGCCAGGGCACAGGGGCTCACAGAGGAAAGGTGAAGGCTGCGTCAAAGGCTGGGGTGGGAGTCCCAGCAGGGCTGGAGGATACCCGAGGCCATAGCATCAGATGGAGTAGCAAGGCTGGCTGGTGCAGCCGAATTCGGCATTTAGCAGAGATGGTATTGGGGTGAACTCAGGTAGGGAGGAGGCCAACACGGTGGCCAAGACCCAGGTCAACACCTGGCCCTTCCGCTTACTTCCACAGCTGTGTGACCTTGGACAATATAAGCCTGTTTTCTCTGAAAAAGTGGACATACTAATAGTACCCACATCATAGAATTATTCCAAAGATTAAATGAGCTGATACAGATCTCTAAGTGCTATGCCAGGCTCATAGAAAATGAACACATATTGGGTTTTTACCTTCTTCTCACCCCCTCCCATCCCTAATCTCCTCTTTCCATGAGCGTTCACTCCAGCGAATCTCACTTATGACCTTAAATATGCATGTGTCTTGGTAAAAGATGTTGTGTTGTTTTGGGTGCTATAGGTCTCCTCTAGCATTTTCCCCCCGACTCAGCTCTGCGTGTTTGAAGATCTCGGTGTTGCTTCCAGTTGCCATAGAGTTTCCCGCTTGCACGTTCACTACATTTTACTCATCCAATCTCCAGGGGATGGACATCTCGGTAGGTTGCAGTAGCTCAGCCTGTTATCCCAGCACTCTGGGAGGCTGAGGCGGGCAGATCACTTGAGGTCAGGAGTTCAAGAGCAGCCTGGCCAACACCGCGAGACCCCATCTCTAGCAAAATACAAAAATGAGCCGGGCGTGGTGGTGTGCACCTGTAATCCCAGCTACTCAGGAAGTTGAGATAGGAGAATTGCTTGAACCCAGGAGGCGGAGGTTGCAGTGAGCTGAGATCACGCCACTGCACTCCAGCTTGGGCGACAGAGGGAGACTCTGTCTCAAAAAAAAAAAAAAAAAAAGATGGACATCTCTGTTGCCTCCAATTTCCTCATCTCACAAACGAGTACTTGGCAAAACACCCTTAGACATGTCCCCTGCGGACCTGTGTGAGAACTGCCCTGGGATATGCAGGGGCGCAATGGCTACGTGTGGGACATGCACATACTTAATTTTGCTCAATATTGTTAGGCTGCTTCGAGAATGACGGAATTATATTGCACCCCACCAGCGGTACATAAGGGTTCCCACCACCCCACATGCCTGCCAGCACTTAGTATTATCCACCACTCTAATTTCTGCCACCGTGATGGGTATAAAGTGCTAATACATGAATTTTGTGTTTCTTGGTTTATTACTGAGTGTTGCCCAACAAGTGTATGAAGAGGTACTTACACTCACTAATAATCCAGAAATTGCTTGTTATTCTGTGAATTACTTTGATGTCCTTTGCCCACCTTCTGTTGGGTTTCATCATGTTTGCCTGTTGGGTGCTCCACAAACAATTGCCATTGAAGGCAGCCTCTGGCAGCTGCCTCAGAGCAGGTCAGTCCTCTAGCCACGGGGTGGTCAGGTTGGCTTCATGGGCCTGAGGTCTGGCAAATGATCCACCTTGATCCAAATGGCATCTGCCATTTGAATTGCTGTCATTTCATAAACCTTTCCTGAGTGCTTACTCTATGGTGGGCCCTGTGTAGGCCCCCAAGACCCAAATAAGTCAGACTGCCCTGCTGCTAAGAATTCATAGTGCAGTGAGGCAGACAGACTAGACAGAATAGAGTTATTCTAAAGATTAAATGAGATGATGGATACAAAGCAGTTCCCCACAAGAGACCCTGTCCTACTAGATGGTCCGGGCTTGGGAAATGGACAAAAACATGTATCACTGCACCAGGGAGTCCACACCAACCTACTAAGGAGACTAAGGAGGCAGCTCTGAACTTGGAAGACCCTTGGTTTATATTGAGCATCCTGAAGGGTGCCTGGGGCTGAACTCAAGGCAAGGAACCCTAGAGAACTGCTCAGCTTAGCTGACAATAATTTGAATTGGGGGTGGAGTTGGGAGGAAGACGTAGAGAGAGGAGATAAGAGATAGGGTGAGGTATGCAGAGTGAAGAGGCCCAGGCATAAACCTCAGCCATGAACAGGGATGTCTAATATTCCATTCAAGTCACTTGAGATGCTCCTCTGTCTCCTTAAGTCCTTAGCAGAGCCCACATGCCCTCATTTGCCTTAGGTGAGCATTTTGTGGAAACTGAGGAAAGGAATGAGTTTCTGTGGAGGTCATGTGGCTTGTGACAGAGTCGGCCCCCACAGGATGGTGAGAGAGTCCAAAAATTGATCAAATACAGCAGAAGCAGGAATTTGGAATCAGAGGTGATCATGGAAATATAAGTCAGCCCCTGAGGGATTTGCAGAAATGGGGAGGCGTTAACTTGCAAAGATGAAGGGAGGGTTTGAGGTGGTCTTATTTAGATCTAAGCGGGTTTTGTAGCAAATTGTATTTTCCAAAAATGGTCACAATAATATCTCTCATCTCACATGGCTCCTCTTTCAATGTGACTTTGACACCACCATCAAATCAAGAGGCTGGGGCTATATCTCCTCCCTTTGAAACTGGGTGGAACTTTAAGATTGCCTTGACCAACAGAGTGTGGCAGAAGTGGTACTATTTTTATGACTGCGGCTAGGTCATAAAAACGCTCTGTACTTCTGCTTTGTTCTTTTGGGAAATTCACTGTGGAGGAAGCCAGCTAGCTGCCAGGGAAGCACTTTGACCGCCCTGGAACCGCCATGCTGTGAGGAAGCCCAAAGGAGTTTAGAGAGATCACATGGAGAAGCCCAGAAGCTAACCGAAGAGACAGTACCCAGCCATCTCCAGCTGCCCTGGCCTCTGCTGTGCCGCCTCCAGTCACTGTCTGACTGCAGTGCATGGGAGACCCCAAGCTAGGGCTGCCCAGCCATGCCCTTTCCCAATTCCTAATCCACAGAAATTATGAGGGATTCAAAAATGACTGGTTATTTTAAGCCACAAAATTTCGGGATATTTGTTACACAGCAGTAGATAATCCAAATATGTTTATATTTATTCTGTTATCAGCCTTTCCTGGTAGACTCCGGTTACTGTTTTCCACTCTATTTCTAGCACTTAGTTTGAAACATACTAGGTGCTCCACAAATATGTGTTGTATAAATGAATGAAAGTGAACAGACTATATCATATGGTGTTAGGGGGAACCAAGGGGGCTCTGGGAGCCAGAGGGGGCTCCCAACTTGCTGGAAAGATCCAGGGAGGCTTCCTGGAGAAAGTGGTGCTGCTCCAAGTCCTGGGTAGGAGAAGCACACAGGAATATCTGTTCCTGTTCTCTAGGTGCTGCTTGTTTGTTTATGGCCCACATGACACTTCCCAGCGTGGTGTGTGTCCAACAGGCTGGTCCCCATGTCCCCATGTCCATTGGGGGCTCTCCCTCCCTATTCCTTCTCCTGCTCTCTTTTCTCCCTTCCTCTCTGGGCCTGCAGCTCACTCCTCCTGCCTCCTCTGACTCTGGGTCTGGCTAGAGAAAATTAAGTCAATGGGGAGGGAGGAGTTGACAAATAGATGTCCAGTAATTGAATTTTTTTTTTCTCTCTCGCCCTCTCTCCACCCCCCAGGGAGCAGGAAGAATTAGCTCTCTAGACAGTGGTTTTCCCTGCTTAAGGAGCTCTGGTGGTTGCACCCCCTCCCCCACCTAGACCAGCAGGAAGGAGAGTAGAACGGCAGGCAAGAGCCTCCTTAGGCTCCTCCAGGGCTAAGCCTTGTACAGAGGAGGAAACTGAGGCCTAGGGAGGAGCGAGACTTGCATCAGGCACTCAGGAGGTTAGAATTTGTTTGGGACTAGAAGGGAAAGGCCACCTAGGCCAGCTCTTGCACTGCCCCAGGAAGTCAGGGAGCAGGGACTGGGAAGCGTTCAGTGTCCTGCAGAGACACAAGGTCTGGCCAGTGACAGAGAACCTGGGGCTCCTGAGTCCTGTGCAGAAGGCAGCCCTTTTGCCACAGCAGTTGGTTGGGGTTTCCTTGGCTAGGAGTCAGTGGAGTTGGTAGGGGCCAGCCTGTTGCTCTGCACATCCAGCTGCCCTGCAGGACCTGGCTGTGAACAGGTCTTTTTTTCTCACAGAACACCCTCTAGGGGCACAGGTGGGGGCAGCCAGCTTGGTACTGACCATGGGCAGAGGGTACCAGGACTGAAAAATAATTGGCCACAGGCTCCAAGACTCATCATTGTGAAAAATGGAGATGGCACTTTGGATCTTACCGGGCTGCAATGAGTCAGGGAGGGCACCGGCACTTAGTTGGCCCTCAGTCAACAGTGTGTGTTATTGGTTCATCGTGGAGATGAAGGTACCGAGGCTCCGAGGAGACCCCGGTTCTAGGTCGCAATCTAGCAAGTGGCAATGCCAGGATTCAAACCCCTGGCGTCCTGGGGCTCCCAAGGCTTCTCTCCATACGGGCAACTCGGCTCGGATCGAGGAGGTGGGGGACGAAGGCGGCGGCGGGATGGGGGTGCAAAGCGTGGCTCCGCAGGGCAAGAGGGAGGCAGGCGTTCTGGACCTGCACCCCCAACCCCGCCCCCGCCCCTGCCATAGGCCCAGTGCGGGTGGGCGCCGCGGCCCCGCCTCGCCGAGCGGCGGCGGCTGCCGGGCTCCGGGAGCGCTTGATTTATTAAGCTAATGTTCTAGCACATTTTCTCCATCCCGTAATGAGCTGTTTCCACCAGGGGGTGTCTGCAGAGCGACTGCGGCTTCCGGCTGCTCCAGGAGGGAGCAGGGTCGGCGGGCGGGCGTCTGCGGGAGGCTGGGGGCGCCTGGTCGCCCGGGGAGGGTTGGGGTTGCAAGGTCTGGGTAGAAAAATCACCCCTGGTGGGGAGCTTGTGAGGGGAGGCGGGAGGCCTGTCCCTCCGCGCTACAGCCTAGGAGCGAACCCCACACTTACCCCTGTGCCATCCTGCCAGCTTCCTACCAACCTCAGGGGGCCTGAGAGGGACCCCGCCGGCATCCTGGCCTGGTCCTTTCCGCCCCCTCCTCCCCTGCTCCCCGATCCCTCAGCTTGTGAGGATGCCGAGCTCAGCCTGCCTGCCGCCTGCTTGTTATCTCCCCAGAGCTGGCATTTCTGTGGCTTCAGGCGTCAGTTAGGTCCTTTGCAGCCAGACAGATCTAGGTTCCAATCCGAGCCCAGCCACCTGTGAGCTCCGGGAAATCTCTGGGCCTCAGTTTCCCATTTGGTGGGGTTGTTGTGGGGATCTGTGATAATGTATGTGGTGTTCTGCACAGTGATAACCCTGTTCATGTTGGTTGGGGTGGACCTGCTGGGTGCATAACTCCGCCCTGGCTCGGGGAGCGGGGGCGGGGGAGCGGTGTGCACAGCAGGGACACCTGGGCACCATAATATCCCGACACAGGCAGCCTGCGCCTACAGCCCTTACCTGTTGACAAGCCCCACTTCAGAGGCTTTGCTTTTTTCACGCCGGGCAGGGACAGTACGTGGTATTTGGGCTTTAAAAGACTAACTTCATTTTTCCTCAACAAATTCACATCCCCCAGAGCCTGGACTTGCTGGTGGATTGGGGGACCTGCTCGGTAGTAGAACTATTGCGCTTGGTGCTCGTTCTTTTTTTTTTTTTTTTTTTTTTTTTTTGAGACGGAGTTTAGTTTTTTTTGCCCAGGCTAGAATGCAGTGGCGTGATTCTCGGCTCACTGCAACCTCTGCCTCCTGGGTTCAAGCGATTCTCCTTCCTCAGCCTCCTGAGTAGCTGGGATTACAAGTGCACACCACCATGCCCGGTAATTTTTTGTATTTTTAGTAGAGACGGGGTTTCATCATGTTGGCCAGGCTAGTCTTGAACTCCTGACCTCAGGTGACCACCCGACTTGGCCTCCCAAAGTGCTGGGATTACAGGCACCGAGCCACCACGCCTGGCCAGTGCTCTTTCTTGTGTTTTTAGTAATTTTTTTTTTTTTTTTTGGAAACGAGTCTGGCTCTGTTGCCCAGGCTGGAGTGCAGTGGTACAATCTCGGCTCACTGCGGCCTCCGCCTCCCGGGTTCAAGCAATTCTCCTGTCTCAGTATCCCAAGCAGCTGGGACTACAGGCGCATGCCACCATGCCCGGCTAATTTTTATATTTTTAGTAGAGACAGGTTTCACCATATTGGTCAGACTGGTCTTGAACTCCTGACCTCAGGTGATCCACCTGCCTTGGCCTCCCAAAGTGCTGGGATTACAGGTGAGAGCCACTGTGCCCGGCCTGTGTTTTCTAGTCTTTATTGCTGCGTTTTCTTTAGCACGTGGCTGACACCTAGAAGGTGCTCAGCAAGGGGTAGCTGTCACTGCTTTTCTCAATGGAGAAGATACCGACCGTCCCACTGACCCCATCCCCCAGGAAGGACAGTAGGTTGACTATGGGCCTCTTGGGATTCATACCCCATTACACAGTGCCAAGGTCCACTCACCCTACCCAGGAACTGTCACTCTATGGTATAGGGCAGGGTGGTTGAGTGCCTTGCCCAAGCACCCACGATATAAGCGGCAGAGCAAGACTGAAACACTGTCTGCTCAACTGACTCCCAAACCAGTGCTCCCCCGACTCCTCACTGGAGGCCACTGAGGGAGACTCCTGGCCTTCAGCAGGCCCTCAGGACAAAAGTGACTTCTCTCAGCTTCTTCCTTGCAGAGGGCTAACCAGTCTTGGCCCCTGGATGAATATGGACTTTTGTGGAATCTTTTCAGGAAGGGCTAAGATTGGAGTCAGATGGGCTTGCAGGGACCTGCCCGGGACCCCACTGTGTACCCATGTCTGTTCTTCGGTTTTTGTTCCTCACTGAACTTCCCTGACTCCTTTCCCACAAGAGAACTGAGCCACCCAAAAGCATTAATGAGCAAGTGGGATGAACTGAAGATTAAAGCAAAGATGGACAAGGCCATTTCTGTTCATGCCCTACAGCAAAGAACCTAAAAAGAGCCACCTTTGTTTTTTTGTTCTCCCATTCCTCTGCTCAGCTGCCTGTCCTGGGGTGGCTCCCCCGACTTCACACACCACTCCCTGCCTTGCTGGGCCCTTTCTCTCCTGCCTCCCTCACCAGCCTTTGGTCCCTCCTTGTGGCTTCCCTCTGCATGGCTGGTGCCTTTAGGCATTTAGTCCTCTCTTAGCCACCTCCTCCGGGAGGCCTTCCCTGACCGCCTGATCCAGAAAAGCCTCCAGCCAGCCTCCATCACATTACCAGCATCTGCTGTCTTTGTGGCATCGTCTGAAGATTCCTTATTTATTGCCTGTTTCCCTCTAGGATTGAAACTCTGCTGCCTGGTACCCAGAACGTGCCCTGAAACATAGTAGGGGGAATATTCTGCTTTCGATCTCTTTTTTCTCAACTTCACCTGTGCCTCAGCTCCTGGCTTCAGACTTGCATGCCTCAGTTTCCCCCAGCACTCCAGTTAACAGGGATTTTATGTCAACAGCGTCGTTTTCTGACGTTGCTAACACTTGGGTGTTTGCTAGTTAACAGGCACTAAGTACTTCCCTTATATTAACTCAAGTGAATCCTTACCACAGCCCCGTGAGGTGGGTACAATTATCATCATCCCCACTTTACAGATGAGGAAACCAACACCAGAAATAACCAGCCCAGTCTCCAAGCACAGTCAATAAGTGGCAGGGGTGTGGTTGAAACTGAGATGGTTGGTTTTCAGGAGTCCCCACTCCAGACTATTGTTAGAAGCAGCATGGTGCTCCCGTCTGCCTCTCAGAAGGCAGCCTCCCCACTTTGTGGAATGTGGACAAGACCTTGGAACTTGTTCCCCCACATCCCCACCACACTCCAAATGGCTTTTCAAAGTATTTCTTCCAGATACATACGGTGTTTCTTCCAAACTAGACATGTCTGGGAGAACAAAATTTCCTCCATTTTGTTACACATTTAACAGAAATCAGCTTAACTGGCCAGGCATGGTGGCTCACCCCTCTAGTCCCAGAGACTACAGGTGACTGAGGCTTGCTTGAGCCCAGGAATTCCAGGCTGCAGGGAGCTATGATTGTGCCATTGCACTCCAGCCTGCGTGAGAGCAAAACCTTGTCTAAGAAAGAAAAGGAAAGAAAAGAAAGGAAGGAAGAAAGTGTCAGAGGCGTGTGAACCAGAGCAACTCTGTCTTAAACAGGAGCTGGGTAAAATGAGGCTGAGACCTACTGGGCTGCATTCCCAGACGGTTAAGGCACTGTAAGTCACAGGATGAAACAGGAGGTCGGCACAAAATACAGGTCATAAAGACCTTGCTGATAAAACAGGTTGCAGTAAAGGAGCCAGCCAAAATTCAGCAAAACCAAAATGGCCACGAGACTGACCTCTGGTCATCTTCACCGCTAC
This sequence comes from Homo sapiens, assembly GCF_000001405.40. Lineage (NCBI taxonomy): Eukaryota > Metazoa > Chordata > Mammalia > Primates > Hominidae > Homo > Homo sapiens. Next base: position 54,503,255 of record NC_000001.11, read on the forward strand.
ATTCCCACCAGCGCCATGACAGTTTACAGATGCAATGGCAACGTCAGGAAGTTACCCTATATGGTCTGAAAAGGGGAGGCATGAATAATCCACCCCTTTTTAGCATATCATCAAGAAATAACCATAAAAATGGGCAACTAGCAGCCCTCTGGGCTGCTCTGTCTGTCTATGGAGTAGTCTTTTTTTTTTTTTTGAGACAGAATTTTACTCTTGTTGCCCAGGCTGGAGTGCAATAGCGTGATCTTGGCTCACTACAACCTCCGCCTACTGGGTTCAAGTGATTTCTCCTGCCTCAGCTTCACAAGTAGCTGGGATTACAGGCATGCACCACCACACACGGCTAATTTTGTATTTTTAGTAGAGACAGGGTTTCTCCCTGTTGGTCAGGCTGGTCTTGAACTCTCAACCTCAGGTGATCTGCCAGCTTCGGTCTCCCAAAGTGCTGGCATTACAGGCATGAGCCACCGCACCCGGCTGCCATTCTTTTATTCCTTTACTTTCTTAATAAACTTGCTTTCACTTTGCACTGAGGACTTGCCCCGAATAATTTCTTGCACGAGATCCAAGAACCCTCTATTGGGGTCTGGATGGGGGCTCCTTTCCTGTAACAAAAGGAAGGAAGGAAGGAGGGAGGGAGAAGGAAGGGAGAAGGGAGGAAGGAAGAAAGGAAGAAAGAAAGAAAAAAAGAAAGAAAGGCTAGGTGCTGTGGCTCATGCCTGTAATCCCAGCACTTTGGGAGGCCCAGGTGGGCTGATCACTTGAGGCCAGGAGTTTGAGGCCAGTCTGACCAACATGACAAAACCCTATCGAGGCAGGAGAATCACTTGAACCAGGGAGGCGAAGGTTGCAGTGAGCTGAGATCACACCACTGCACTCCAGCCTGGGTGACAGAGCTAGACTCTGTTTAAAAAAAAAAAAGAGGCTGGGTTTGGTGGCTCACACCTGTAATCCCAGCACTTTGGGAGGCCGAGGCAGGTGGATCACGAGGTCAAGAGACCGAGAACATTCTGGCTAACATGGCGAAAGCCCGTCTCTACTAAAAATACAAAAATTAGCTGGGCACGGTAGCGCACGCCTGTAGTCCCAGCTACTCGGGAGGCTGAGACAGGAGAATCGCTCAAACCCGGGAGGCAGAGGTTGCAGTGAGCCGAGATTGCGCCACTGCACTCCAGCCTGGCTACAGAGCAAAACTCCACCTAAAACAAAAACAAAAACAAAAAACCAGAAAGCCAAGCTGGGCACGGTGGCTCACACCTGTAATTCCAGCACTTTGGAAGGCTGAGGTGGGCGGATTACGAGGTGAAGAGTTCGAGACCAGCCTGGCCAACATGGTGAAACCCCCGTCTCTACTAAGAATACAAAAATTAGCCGAGCATGGTGGCGGGTGCCTGTAATCCCAGCTACTTGGGAGGGTGAGGCAGGAGAATTGCTTGAACCCGGGAGGTGGAGGTTGCAGTGAGCCAAGATCACGCCACTGCACCCCAGCCTGGGCGACAGAGCAAGACTCTTTTCTTGGGGAAAAAAAAAAAAAAACAGAAAGAAAGCTGGGCACGGTGGCTCATGCCTGTAATTCCAGCACTTTGGGAGGCTGAGGCGGGTGGATCACCTGAGGCCAGGAGTTTGAGACCAGCCTGGTCAACATGGTGGAACCTCATCTCTACTAAAAATACAAAAAAATTAGCTGAGCGTGGTGGCAGGCACCTGTAGTCCCAGCTACTCTGGGAGGCTGAGGCAGGAGAATGGCTTGAACCCGGGAGACGGAGGGTGCAGTGAGCTGAAATCACGCCACTGCACTCCAGTCTGGGTGACAAGAGAGAAACTCCGTCTAAAAAAAAAAAAAAATTGCCAGCCATGGTGGCACACGCCTGTAGTCCTGGCTATTTAGGAAGCTGAGGCAGGAGAATTGCTTGAACCCAGGAGGCAGAGGTTGCAGTGAGCCGAGATCGCGCCACTGCACTCCAGCCTGGGTGACAGAGCAGGACTCCGTCTTGGGGGGAAATAAAAATAGAAAGAAAGAAAGCCGGGCACAGTGGCTCACACCTGTAATCCCAGCACTTTGGGAGGCCGAGGCGGGTGGATCACCTGAGGTCAGGAGTTCGAGACCAGCCTGGTCAACATGGCTAAACCTCATCTCTACTAAAAATACAAAAAATTAGCTGAGCGTGGTGGCAGGCATCTGTAGTCCCAGCTACTTTGGGAGGCCGAGGCAGGAGAATCGCTTGAACCCAGGAGGCGGAGGGTGCAGTGAGCTAAGATCACACCACTGGACTCCAGCCTGGGTGATGGGAGAAACTCCGTCTAAAAAAAAAAAAAAATTGCCAGCCGTGGTGGCACATGCCTGTAGTCTCAGCTACTCAGGAGTCTGAGGCAGGATAATCAGTTGAACCTGCGAGGTGGAGATTGCAGTGAGCCAAGATTGCGCCACTGCACTCCAGCCTGGGTGACAGAGTGAGACTCTGTGAAAGAAAGAGAAAGAAAGAGAGAGAGAGAGAGAAAGAAAGAGGGAGAAAGAAAGAAAGAAAGAAAGAAACAAACAAACAAACAATGTTTAAAGGAGACAAGAGCCTCCCGGATCCAGGGGAACCAGGTCTGGAGAAGGCATAGGGTAGGCTGGCAGAGCCACCTGAATGTGTTTTGTCTCTCGGTGCCCCTCTTTCTTTTCTTTCTTTCTTTATTTTGAGACGGAGTCTCGCTCTGTCGCCCAGACTAGAGTGCAGTGGCGTGATCTCGGCTCACTGCAACCTCCGCGTCCGGGTTCAAGCGATTTTCCTGCCTCAGCCTCCCGAGCAGCTGGGACTACAGGTGCCTGCCACCATGCCCAGCTAATTTTTGTATTTTTAGTAGAGATGGGGTTTCACCATATTGGCCAGGCTGGTCTCGAACTCCTGACCTCATGATCTGGCTGCTTCAGCCTCCCAAAACGCTGGGATTACAGGCATGAGCCGCTGAGGCCAGCTGGTGCCCCTCTTTCTTTCCCTTCTTCATGCTCGGCCCTTTTATTTGCCTCTCTGCAGCCCAGTTTCCTCTGTATTTTCTGGGCTCCGAGGGGACCATAATCTCCCCTACAGCATTTACACACATTCCACATCTTGGAAGCTTTATTCCCAGGGTAAGAGAGATAGTCTGATTGGCAGAGTGTGGACCAGGGTCCATCTGAATCCTCTGTGATGGGGGAGGGTGTGTGGGGTACACAGGAGAGGGGTGGTGGTGAGCTGATCAGGCAGCTCTGCAAGTACCCACCATGGACATGAAGAGCCTGGGCACCAAACTAAGGAATTTCTGAGGTGAGGAGAGTTTTAAGCCAAGGAGTAGCAGAATTCAGCTTGCAGTTTTGCTAGTTCGCAGTTTTGATGGCTCAGTTAGGGTGAAGGAGGGCTGGAGGGGCCAGTGGGGACACAGCAAGAAAGCTGCTCCTCCTGTGTAACATGGTGTTTGGGGGCACAGAGTTCCCCTGAGGAGGAAGCAGTGGCCACCCTGCCTCCACTCTGGGACATTTTTGCTTCCCCCACCCGGGCCTGCTCTGACTCATTCATCCACTCATTCTGAGCACTTGCTGCACACTAGGCCCTGGGCTGGGGCTTCAGCCCAGGAGTTCACTGCCGTGGGGGAGACAGGACAGGGTTGGTGTGAGAGAAAGGAGGGTCAGAGGAAGCGCCACAGGAGACCCAAGGGGGCCAAAGTCAGTCGGGGGTGGGACCGAGGGTCTGGGCCATATTCCACAGAGTTTTGATGCAGGCCTGGAAGAACAGGTAGAAGTTGAAAGCATGGAACTGGGGTGAAGGGCTTTCCAGGTGGAGGAATGGCACAGGCCAAGGAACGGAGCTGGGAACATTTGAGGCACGGCTGGGGACGCAGGCAGTTCTATTGCGGGGTGTGTGGAGCGGAGCGATGGAGACAAGACTGGAGGAAGGTAGGGACCTTCCTCTGTGGATGCTCCTCATGGAACATTATTTCATTTTTGAGAGATGGGGTCTCACTACATTGCCCAGGCTAGAATGCAGTGGCTATTCATAGGCACAATCATAGTGCAGTATAGTCTTGAAGTTCAGAATTCTCCCACCTCAGTCTCCTGAGTAGCTGGGACTACAGGTGTGCACTACCACGTCTGGCCTATGCTGTGGCAGTGGGGAGCCACTGACTGTGAGCAGAAAGTGATGTGGTCGGTGTTTCCCTTCAGGACGCTGATGGCATGGGTTCTATACATTAAACCAGGGGGAGAACACTCAGGCCTTCAGAGTGCCAGGGTCTTGGGGAGATGCTCACAGAAATGCCCATTGCTGTGTCCCAGGGCATTTGGCAGCACGGCTGGGTGGTTGACGAGGCCAGGAGTAGTATGTGCAGGCACAGGGTGGGCGTGGCAGCTGTCACATGGCAGAGGACCCGCAGAAGCTGCTGATGGCTGGAAGGTAATTAACAATTGTAATCACTCCTGTCATGACATAATTAAACTCCAATCGCGCTGGCTGGGTGGCTGATAGATGGGCCTGGGAGTCACAGCTGGGGGCGGGGGACAGTCAACATCATTTGTCAGCAGGCAGACCAGCAGTGGGGACCAGGTCTCTCTTTATGGGGGCGCTGGTGGGCCCTGAGGTGCACCCTCTACAGGTCTAGACTCCATAGTGTCTGATAGTAAGTCTGGGCTGGATGATTTCGAGAAATCATGTAGTAGGGGTGTCCTGGGTGGGGGTGCTGAGGGAGGGCAGAGGTCGTGGGGCTCCAGGCATGCCCCCTTGCTTCAGACCTCTTAGAATTCTTTTTTCTTTTTTTTTGAGACAGGATCTTACTCTGTTGCCCAGACTGGAGTACAGTGGTGTGATCTTGGCTTACCGTAACCTCTGCCTCCCAGACTCAAGCGATTCTCCCGCTTCAGCCTCTCAAGTAGCTGGGATTACAGGTGCACACCACTACCACCTGGCTAATTTTTTTTTGTGTGTGTGTGTGTGTGTGTGACAGAGTCTCACTCTTGTCACCTAGGCTGGGGTGCAAAGGCACGATCTCGGCTCACTACAACTTCTGCCTCCCAGGTTCAAACGATTCTCCTGCTTCAGCCTCCCAAGTAGCTGGGATTACAGGCACCCAGTGCTACACTCACCTAATTTTTTAGTTGAGACAGGGTTTCACCATATTGGTCAGGCTGGTCTTGAACTCCTGACCTCAGGTGATCTGCCCGCCTTGGCCTCCCAAAGTGCTGGGATTACAGGTGTGAGCCACTGCACCTGGCACTTTTTTTTTTTTTTTTGAGACAGAGTTTCACTCTTGTTGCCCAGGCTGGAGTGCAATGGCGCGATCTCGGCTCACCGCAACCTCCACCTCCCAGGTTCAAGCAATTCTCCTGCCTCAGCCTCCCAAGTAGCTGGGATTACAGGCATGCACCACCATGCCCGGCTAATTTTGTATTTTTAGTAGAGACGGGGTTTCTCCATGTTGAGGCTGGTCTCGAACTCCTGACCTCAGGTGATCCTCCCACCTCAGCCTCCCAAAGTGCTGGGATTACAGGCGTGAGCCACCGCGCCAGGCCTTTTTTTTTTTTTTTGGTATTTTTAGTAGAGACAAGGTTTCACCATGTCGGCCAGGCTGGTCTTGAACTCCTGATCTCAAATGATCTACCCGCCTTGGCCTCCCAAAGGGCTGGGATTACAGGGGTGAGCCACCACGCCTGGCTCACACCTCTTTTTTCTTTTTTTTTTTTTTTTTTGTTGTTGGGGGGTGCAGAGTCTTGCTCTGTCGCCCAGGCTGGAGCGCAGTGGCGTGATCTCAGCTCACTGCAACATCTGCCTTCCAGGTTCAAGCGATTCTTATGCCTCATCCTCCTGAGTAGCTGGGCCTACAGGTGCGTACCACCATGCCTGGCTAATTTTTGTATTTTTGGTAGAGATGGGGTTTCACCTTGTTGGCCAGGCTGGTCTCAAACTCCTGACCTCAAGTGATCCACCCTCACTGTAATCCCAAAGTGCTGGGATTACAGACGTGAGCCACCACACCCAGCCTCCTCTTTTATGTTTCTAAATGGAAATGTCATCCTTGTTGATTATACATAATTATTAAGAAAGAACTCCAGACACTATGAAGGAAGCATAAGTCCTCTATGATCCCATTCCCTAGCCATAACCATCGTTGAAAGTTTTGTTAATGTCCCAGTTCCAAGGGTTCTCAGAATTACCATCCAGATTCATGCCAAGATCCCTGCTGTTCTGTAGGCTATCTCAGTAACCTCGCAAGAAATCTCCCTGTTTCGTTAAAAATAGTTGATGCTTTTCCTTCCAGGTGTGGTCAAACTCAAGAAATAGGAGATTTTCCCCTCCACCTGCAATCTACCCACTTCTACCCTACCCACCTGAGGCTGGTTGCATAGGTCGTAGCCTGCCATTTTCATTCGAGATAAGCTCAGGAACAAGCTGTAATGTCCCAGCTTCTGCTGGTTCTTGGTGTTGCCAAAAGTGGAGGCTGGACAAGAAGGCTCTGTTTCTCGAGGTTCCTGGCTTGATTTCTTGGGTGGTGGGGAGGAAGGAGAAAGATCTAAACTGCATAAAGAAGCAGCAGGAAGGCCGAGTGCAGTGGCTCACGCCTGTAATCCCAGCCCTTTGGGAGGCCAAGGTGGGCAGATCATGAGGTCAGGAGCTCGAGATCATCCTGGCCAACAGGGTGAAACCTCGTCTCTACTAAAAATACAAAAATTAGCTGGGCATGGTGGCTTGTGCCTGTAGTCCCAGCTACTTGGGAGGCTGAGACAGGAGAATTGCTTGAACCTGGGAGGCGGAGGTTGCAATGAGCCGAGATCGCACCACTGCACTCCAGCCTGGCAACAGAGCGAGACTCTGTCTCAAAATAAAAAAGCAGCAGGAACTGGGGAGCTCTACCCAGCTGGGCAGAGGGTAGAAAGGAAAAAGGCACAGGTATGTAGGTGTGTGTTGCAGAGGTGTCTCCTCCTGCCTCTGTTTCCCCTTCTCGGCCCATAGTTGAAGGTATGTTGGAATGAACATTCTCGGCTTCTCTCTCCACTCCTCTTGTTTATTCCACATTTCATTGATAAAACCACAGGGAGGCAGGTGAGCTTGGGGTAGAATCACTGCTTTAAAATGTGGTGTATTTGGGGCCAGGCGCGGTGACTATGACTGCAAACCCAGCACTTTGGGAGGGTAAGGCGGGCGAATCACTGGAGGTCAGGAGTTTGAGACCAGCCAGGCAACATGGGGAAACCCTGTCTACAAAAAATACAAAAATTAGCTGGGCATGGTGGCGTGCACCTGTAATCCCAGCTACTGAGGTGGGAGGATCACTGGAGCCTGGGAGGTCAAGGCTGCAGGGAGCCGAGATTGTACCACTGCACTCCAGCCTGGGTGAGAGTGAGACCTTTCCTCAAAAAAACCAAACCAAACCAAACCAAACCAAACCAAACCAAACCAAACCAAACCCGAAAAACAAACTAAAAAACCCCACAAAAACAAACAAAACAAAATGCAGTGTATTTGGAGAGAACGGGTGTCTGGTTATTTTGTGCTTTGTATCAAGTTAGCCCAAAACTTAGTGGCATAAAACAATCAAGCATTGTGCTCGCAGATTATGTGGAACTGCTAGCTGGGCAGTTCTTACTTGGGAGTCTCTCTCTTTGACTTAGAGGCCTTCAGGTGAAGTGCAGGCAGCCTCTGGGGGGCAGATTCTGTCCTTTTTTGACTGTTCTTGGGGTTAGAGGACTTGTCCTGCAGTCTGTGTCAATAGCTGGGGATAGGTAGAAGGCCCCCCATTGACTAACCTAGCCTGATTAGTAATACAGCCGATTCTTCCCTGCAACCTTCCCAGGGCTCCAGAGGCCCATGGGCAGCAGGTAGGTGATGGGGCTTCCCTATGGACAACATGGGTGGGGAGGGATGGGTTAGGAGAGTCCTGTGAGCTTGTGAGAGGAACATGGCCTGAGAGAGGGACACTGTGAGGGGATGGCTGATTAATGTTCCTGACAGTGACATCTGACAAGGGCTTTGGAGACCCTGCTGTGGACCTGTGTGCTTCTACTGCCCTGAATTCTCAGAATACATGACTACACACAGCAATCCTGAGGACTCAAATTACACTTCCTGTGGTAGCCAGCCTCCAGGATGGCCCCAGTAACCCACACATCATTGTGTAGTTCTGTCCAACACTGAATCAGGGCTGGCTCTGTGGGACCAATAGCATAAGATGAAAGTGAAGATGTGACTCCCAAGACTGGGTCATAAAAGGCATTGTGGCTTCTTCTTTGGATCCTTGGCTCTCTTGCTCTGGGGGAAACCAGCCGCCATGCTGTGAGAACACTCAAGCGACCCTGTGGAGAAGCCCACAGGGAGAGGAGCTGAGGCCCTTGGCCAGCAGCTGGCACCTGCCTGCCAGCCATGTGAATGGGTCACTTTAGAAGTGCATCTTTGGGTCTGGTCAAGCCTTTAGATAACTGCAGACCTGGCTGATATCTGCCTGCAGCCGCATGAGAGGTCCCAAATGAGAACTGCCCAGCTTCCTGAAGTTCTGACCCACAAAATTTGTAAGCATAATAAACAGTTGTGTTATATCACTAAAATTTGGTATTTATTTGTTGCACAGCATGTGATAACTGCATACTCCCTTAGTTCAAGCTGCTATAACAAAATACCTTAGAGTAGGGTAATATATAAACAATAGAAATTTATTGCTCAAAGTTCTGGAGGCTGGGAAGTCCAAGATCAAGGGACCAGCTGATTTAGCATCTGGTGAAGGCTCTCAGCAATTTTTTTTTTTTTTGAGAAGGAGTCTTGCTCTGTTGCCAGGCTGGAGTGCAGTGGTGTGATTTCGGCTCACTGCAACCTCTGCCTCCCGGGTTCAAGCGAGTCTCCTGCCTCAGCCTCCCGAATAGCTGGGATGACAGGCGCACGCCACCACGCCCAGCTAATTTTTGTATTTTTAGTAGAGACGGGGTTTCACCATGTTGGCCAGGATGGTCTTGATCTCCTGACTTTGTGATCCGCCTGCCTTGGACTCCCAAAGTGCTGGGATTACAGGCATAAGCCACTGTGCCCGGCCCAGCTCTCTGCTTTAAAGACGGTGCCTTCCTGCTATATCCTTACTTGGTTGAAGGGGCAAGCTAACTGTCTGGGGCCTCTTTTATAAGGGCACTAATCCCATTTATGAGGGTAGAACCCTCATGACCTAATCACCTCCTAAATGCTCCACCTCTTAATGTTATCACACAATATTAAGGATTACGTTTTAACATATGAATTTTGGGAGAGGACAAACATTCAAACCATAGCACCCCTATTTCCAAATACCCTAGAGGAAGATGACCCTTGAGAGGGAGAGGGTGGGGAAGCAGATGAAAGGGATAGAAAGATAGAGTTCCCATATCCCCTATGAAGCTGGGGGAGAAACCCAGTACTCAATCAGCCTGGACCCCTTTGGCACGGTCCTCTCCAATGTTGGGTTCATGTAAGACGGTTCTGTAAAGTTTCCTAGGGTGAGAGAGGGTGAAGAATTCCTGCAGCATAATTAGGCCAAAGTTACATTATCAGAGAAAATATGTAGACACAGTGAGGGTTTTCAACAGGAAACTAGCTTCTGAGGTGTGGGATGTGTCTGATTTCTTAGATGCAAGCAGAGAGAGCAAACGGCAACTCATACTCCATGGCCTCCTCCATCACCACCCACAGGACCCAAAGCTTCTGCCTCCCCTCAGTAGACAACCTGGCAGAGAAGAAAATGCCTTTGACTTAGAACATGCCAGGGACTGTGAAGTCACAAGACTCAACAGGCGATCTGGGACATTTGGGACTTAATGGGAGCAAAGGAGAGGAAGGGAAGAGTCCTGGAGTGCAGGAGTGGGGAGGAGTAAAAACAAAAGAGACAGGGAAGAAAGGCATTTGAAAAAAGGGTTCTACTAGAAACATACTTGAAAATCAGCTACCTAGATGAATCCCTTCAGGCTTCCCCTACCCTGATTTAGTAGAAGGGGGGGGGGGGGGGTGCCTTAAGTTGTGTTTTCCCATACACAGATCCCACTACAAGGATTAGAATGAAAGCTTGTTTGGGAGAGAGATGGGCAAATGAGATGAAGGGAAGACAGTGATGAAGGCTGTGTGATCAGGCTCGTCACCACGTTGGGGCTCTGGGTAAAACAGACCCCACCTTGTAATCCTACTCAAGAGGCAAAGAAGCTGGTGTATGTATCCTCCAACTGCCACTGGTCATTGCTGAGAGCTGATTCTGGACCCTTCTGGCCTGCCCTGCAGCATACCTGGGGCAGAGAGAAAGTCCCCGGGGAGATTTGAGTTGCAGGCTTTCAGCTTGTCCTGGAGTGAGGACAAGCTGGGGTCCTGATGCTTTGTACAGCAAGCTGGCTCATATCCGAGTGCTCAGCCTTGGAGGCCTTTCTCACGCAGTCGGTAGGCCCATATCCTTGGCTGCAGAAAGCAAAGCCTGACGAAGGTGGTGTGTCCAAGATTGGATGCCTGGTGAGTACTGCTGGATGCTTGCTGCGGGGAAGGGCTGAAGGTGGAAGTTAAGTCAAATTGGCTCAAACCCTGACTCAATTCCTTCCTCTATAATTTTTATTGGGCATATCTCCTTTCTCAGCCTTAGCTGCAAAATGGGGTTGATAATCCCTACCCTGCTTGCCTTTAAAACTTAGAACACTTGGCTACTCACGGTGGCTCACAGTAATCCCAGCACTTTGGGAGGCCGAGGCGAGCAGATTACTTGAAGTCAGGAGTTCAAGACCATCCTGGCCAACATGGCGAAACCCCGTCTCTACTAAAAGTACAAAAATTAGCCGGGCATGGTGGCGGGAGCCTGTAGTCCCAGCTACTGGAGAGGCTGAGGTGCGGGAATCACTCGAACCCGGGAGGCGGAGGTTGCAGTGAGCTGAGATCGCCCTACTACGCTCCAGCCTGGCGAGAGAGCGAGACTCTGTCTCAAAAACAAAACAAAACAAGAAGAAAAAGAAACCTTAGAACACTGTAGTGGATATTGGTAGTTTGCCTCCTGGTCCTTATCCAGTCCTCCTTCTGACATTTGGGGGTCGCCCCTCCCTATTCCCGGTCCAAGTGCTTTGGGTGGGACTCCACCCCTGGATCCAGCCAATCCGAACATACCATTCCGCTGCCTGTGGTGATTGGCTCAGAGGTAGGCATGTGACCTGAGTGCATCCAATCAGAGTGAGTCCAAGTGCTGCCATAGGAGATCTTGGAAAAGCCCAGGCCGGGCTCCGTGGCTCACATCTGTAATCCCAGCACGGTGGGAGGCTGAGGCGGGTGGATCACGAGGTCAGGAGTTTGAGACCAGCCTGGCCAATATGGTGAAATCCCGTCTCTACTAAAAATACAAAAATTAGCCGGGCCCGGTGGCTGGCGCCTGTAATCCCAGCTATTCGGGAGCCTGGGGCAGGAGAATCGCTTGAATCCGGGAGGCGGAGGTTGCAGTGAGCTGAGATCACGCCACTGCACTCCAGCCTGGGCGACAGAGTAAGACTCCGTCTCAAAAGAAAAAAAAAGAAAAGCCCCTCTTTCCAGGTGGACTTGACTGAGGTGATGTGAAGCTGGAGCCGCTGCTGCCCTGTCATCATTATGTAGATCCTTAGAGTGAAGCCAACACACAGGGGCCAGTAAGAGAAGGGGTGGAGAAAGATGGCTTGGTGACTTTGCTGGAGCCCCTGAATCAGCCATGCCTGAAGCAGCACAACACCCCTGGGCTTCTCAGTTATGTGGGCCAGTGAATTTCCTCTTTGTTGAGGCTTGCTTGTGTTGGATTTTCTGTCACTTACAACACAAAGATTTTTAACTGGTAGTACTGGATGCCATGTTTCTTTGTTTTTGTTTTTAAAGAGATGGGATTGGCCGGGCGCAGTGGCTCACGCCTGTAATCCCAGCACTTTGGGAGGCCGAGGCGGGCGGATCACCTGAAGTCAGGAGTTCGAGACCAGCCTGGCCAAAATGGTGAAACGCTGTTTCTACTAAAAATAGAAAAAAATTAGCTGGGCGTGATGGCACACGCCTGTAAGCCCAGCCACTCGGGAGGCTGAGGCAGGAGAATCGCTTGAACCCGGGTGACAGAGGTTGCAGTCAGCCAAGATGGCACCATTGCACTCCAGCCTGGGCAACAAGAGTGAAACTCCATCTCAGAAGGAAAAAAAAAAAAAAAAGAGAGAGAGAGAGAGATGGGCTCGCACACCTGTAATCCCAGCACTTTGAGAGGCTGAGGTGGGCGGATCACTTGAGGTCAGGAGTTCGAGACCAACCTGGGCAACACGGTGAAACTTAGAACTTTAAAATTTAGTACTTTAAAACTCTATAAAAAATACAAAAGTTAGCTGGGTGTGGTGGTGCATATCTGTAGTCTCAGCTACTCAGGAGGCTGAGGTGGGAGAATCACCTGAGTCTGGGAGGCAGAGTTTGCAGTGAGCTGAGATGGTGCCACTGCACTCTAGCCTGGGTGACAGAGCCAGGCCTTGTCACAGAGAGAGAGAGAGACAGAGAGAAAGAGAAGGAGAGAGAGATGGAGTCTTATTCTGTTGCCCAGGCTGGAGTATAGTGGCACGATCATAGCTCACTTCAACCTTAACCTCTCCTGAGTAGCTAGGGCTACAGGTGTGTGCCACCATACCTGGCTAATTTTTGTATTATTATTATTATTTTTTTTTTTTTTGTGGAGATGGGGGTCTCACTATGTTGCCCAGGCTGGTTTTGAACTCCTGGGCTCAAGCGATCTGCCTGCCTTAGCCTCCCAAAGTGCTGGGATTACAGGTATGAGCTACCTCCCCCAGCCATGTTGATGTGAGCTAAGACTTGAACTACAGGGCTTTTCTTTTCTGCTGAGACAGGATCTCATTCTGTTGCCCAGGCTGGAGTGAGGTGGTGCGATCACAGCTCACTATAGCCTCAACCTCCTGGACTCAAGCAATTCTCCTATCTCAGCCTCCTGAGTAGCTGGGACTAGAGGTGCATGCCACCACACCTGCCTAATTTTTGTATTTTTTGTAGAGATAGGGTTTCTCCATGTTGCCCAGGCTGGTCTTGGACTCCTGAGCTCAAGTGATCCTCCCACTTTGGCCTCCCAAAGTGCTGGAATTACAGGCAGGAGCCATTGTGTCTGGCAGGTTTTTTTGTTTTTTGTTCTATTTTTTGCTTAGAAGATTGTGAGACTCATCAGTCCTAGGCCAGAGGAATGCTCTGGAGTGTTTATTGAATAGGTGAATATATGAGTCATCTGACTTGTGGTCTTCTGTTATCACTTAGGTGAATGGATATGACAGTAGCTAAAAGGAGAGGCTGGAAGAGATTATAGAATTTTGTGGAGAAAAATTCGTTCTTTTCCTGAGGGAAGGCCAAAGCCTGCAGTCATGATGGAGTTGGAGAAAGGTGTGAAGGGCCAGGCCAGGAGCCCAGGGAGAGGAGGCCTGAGAGAGGAGGTGAGAGTCCCTTGCAGGGAGCTGCAACGGCTCATGTGGGCTTCCCAGCCCAGCCTCTCCCAACTGCAGCAGAGGGAGGGAACCTAGAGCAGAAAGTGCTTGGGCTCTCCATCTGACAGCCCGTTCAAATGCTTGCTCTTCTGGTGACAGAGTCTGTGTCACTCTGTCTGCCTCACATGGCTGTGAGGTTGGATCTAATTCACCTTGTGTCCCGAGCTGCCTGGCACAGAGGGTGCCTCAGAACCAACTCATGGAGTGAGGTGGCTGCTGACTGGGCTAGTCCCTTCCCAGGGAGAATGGCATTTCTGTTAGAGTCCCAGTTGCATGTCTCTCTCTTCTATCCATCTTCTTTCTCATCAGTATTCAATTTTTCTTCTCAGCCCTGTGGAATGAAGCCTGTGAACAGCCCATTTTCACTTCTGAAGCAGTTGGTCCCCCACAAAAAGATTATTTTCTCCAAAGCAGATGAAAATCCCCTTTCCCTCCGCCTGCTCCTGCAGCCTGTGGTCATGGAGGCAAAGAAATCACCCCTTCCTCTGCCACTTACCAGCTGTGGTCCTGTGCAAATGTCTTAGCTTCTCTGAGCCTCTGTTTCCTTTCTGTAGAGTGAAAATAATTCATTATTTGTGAGATTATGTGAGGATTAAGTAATACTGTATGTGGAAGGGCTGAACACAGTGCTTGGCACAAAGTGGGTGCAATAAAAGAGAATTCCCTTCTAGACTCCACCAAGCATAGCACTGGATTAAGAACACTTCTGTGGATTGATCTCACATGATCCCACATGTCCATTACCTGTGTGTGTCCATGTGTGTGCATGTACATTGTACCTATGGATATGTGCGTGCTATGTTTGTGTGCATCTGAGTGTGGGTATGTGTAAATAGACACATGCGTTCATATGTGTGCTTGTCTGTGCACATGATTATGTGTGTGCGTGTGTGTTTTCCCGGCACTATTAGTAGGAAGCTGTAATTATGCTTTATGCCAGCAGCAGCGGCAACAGCAGTGGCGGTGGCAGCTCTGTTTCCCCAGCCATTAAGCTGCCTCCCTCCACTCATCTGGGGGTGGGGAGCTGGAGCCACTGCCTGCCCTCCCCATCCCTGCATGCTGCATGAGCACCCAGCCATCCCGCTCTCTCACCATATGCCTGTCTTTTACAGTTCTTTGGTGCGTGGTGCTCATCGAGTGGCTAATTAGCTAAATGAATTAATTGACATCCATACATGCAATTAGCAAATGGTTATAAGCAGCTATTCTCCTTGGGATGTCTAAAATTCTAAGGGTCAGATGCTGGGAGGGTTACTTTAATGAGTAAATAAGAGATAAGAGCGGCCAGTGTAAGTACCTGGGGGGCTCTGTGAACTTGATGGCCTGGCAGTCGGGGGACGGGACCCAGGAAGGAGGGAGGAGGTGGTTATGAGCCTGGTAGGGGGAAACTGACTCCATTCACCAGGAATCAGGAGCCTCAGGTTCTGGCCCCATTTATGCGACTTTCTCTATGACCTTGAGTAAATCCCTTCCCGGTCTGGGTCACAGTCTCCGCTTCTGATGGGGATGGATGGAACCAGCTTGTCTCAGAACTCTCCCTGCTCCAATATCCTCCCTTGCCTTAAGCCAAAGTTTCTAATAAGAAACAGGGCTGTGTAGAGATGGGGCGAAGTGCCCCCCTTCTTTATTCCAGGGCACACCATTACTATGCTCTCCCACTTGTAGGTTTTGGTACATGCTGTGCCCCTGCTCCTAATGCCCGGTCCACCTTCTCTGCCTTTAAGATAATGCAGAGTGGCATTGTCCAGTAGAATGTCCTGAATGACGGATATGTTCTATATCCCTACTATCCCATATGGTAGCCATGAGCCACATGTAGCTGTTGGGTCCTTGAAATATGACTAGTGCAACTGAAGGGCTGAATTTTTAATTTATTTACTTTTAATTCATTTAAATTTAAATAGCCACATGTCGCTAGTGGCTATTGTATTGGGCAGTGCAGCTCGAGCTCCTTTAAGATCCAGTCCATTCATTCATTCATTCATTCATTCATTCATTCATTCATTTGCTAATTCATTCATTCATCCAACAAATATTTTTTGAGTATCTGCTGTGGCCAGGCACTGAGGAGACTATTGAGAATAAGCAGGCATGACCCTTGCCCTCATGAAGCATTTGTATGGGAAGGGATAGGAGAGACAGGAGAGAGAACAAGAACTAGACAAAATAATTGGAAGTTATAATAGAAGCTAGGAAAGAAACAAGGGGCTGAGACAGAGAATAGAAAGCCTGGGGCAGCCTTCTTCTTCTTCTTTTTTTTTTTTTTTTTTTTTTGAGACGGCAGCCTTCTTTAGATGGGGTGGTCAGGAAAGGTGTCTCTGAGGTCTGAGGAGGAGCCATGTAAGCTGAGATCCAGGGGTGAGAAGGAGCTTTCCAGGGAGAGTGTGTGTGTTTATGTTGGGGGGTGCAGGGGCTGCTCCAGGCAGAGGGCCCAGCAGTGCTGCGGTGGAGGCAGGAGAGAGCTGGGTGAGTCTGAGGAAATCAGTGGAGTTGGAGTGTAGTGAGTGTGGGGCAAGACCAGGAAAGGAGGGGCAGGGGCCAGATGAAAGACCATAGGGAGGACTATGGATTTTGTTGTAAGGGCAGCAGAGGTCACTAAAGGGTTCTAGACAGGGGCACATCTTCAGAAGTTGACCTGGCTGCTTCCTAGGGCTGGGTTGGAGGAAGCCCTAAGTGAAGGTGGGTGATGGTCGTCTAGGGAAGGGGAACTGGCCAGGGTGGTACAAGATGCCACTACAGGGGCCAGGTGTGGTGGTTCACACCTGTAATCCCAGCATTTTGGGAGGCCGAGGTGGATGGATCACTTGAGGTCAGGAGTTCGAGACCAGTCTGGCCTACATAGTGAAACCCTGTCTCTACTAAAAATACAAAAAAATTAGTTGGGCGTGGTGGCACACACCTGTGATCTCAACTACTCAGGAGGTTGAGATGGGAGAATCACTTGAACCCAGGAGGCAGAGGTTGCAGTGAGCCGAGATCGTGCCACTGCACTCCAGCCTGGGTGACAGAGCAAGACTCTGTCTCAAAAAACAAAACAAAACAAAACAAAAAAACTTCATTGGATTTGTTTCAAAAAAAAAAAGATACCACAACACAACAACCTGGATACCACAACAACCTGGAAGCTTTCCCTGGCTTCCCCGGGCTGGACCAGTCTCCTCTCTGTGCTCCTGCCACCCCCAGGCCTGACTGTGTCATGGCACTTTCACCCCTTGCTGTCACCATCTATTAAGGTCAGACCCACCAGATGTGGGCCTTCCCCAACGTGGCCATGTCTGATTCTGTGTCTCCACCTCGCTCAGCCCAGGCCCTGGTGCGCAGAGCAGTGTTAAGGGGACACAGCCTCTCCCCAGCTCGGCCTGGGGGTCCTCCATCTCCTGGGAAGAGGCTGCCTGGGAAGCTAGCAGTGATGATGGGACAGAGGGCTGGGCCTTTGCCAGCTCTGCAACCCTGGGCCCCTGCCTTCTCCGCTACCTCACCTGCCTCGTGGCAGCACTTTAGAGTTTATAGAGCCTCTTTTCCATCTGTGGCCTCAGCAACTCTCCAAAAAGCCCTGAGATGGAGGTGAAGAGGTAATTCTTTTCCCCATTTTACAGATAAGCAAACAGGAGCCCAGAGAGGCCAAGTGCCTAGGCCTAGAGCAGGGCCCATCAATCTCTCTGAAGGCTACCAAGTACAGAGGTTAAGTGTACAGCTTTGGGGTCAGACAGACTGGTTTGAATGCTGGCTGTTAATTTCTCAGCTGTGTGACTTCAGGCAAAGTACTTAATCTGTGTGAGCATGAGTGTCCTCATCCAGAAAATGAGGAGAATAACTGCCTTTATGTTTCGGGGTGGTTGTGGGGCTTGTAAAGTGCTCAGGGGAATACCTGTCACATGACAAACATTTAGTACTGGTGGCAGTTGCTATTTGGGAATCTGGCAGGAGTACAGAACTCCCCAACAAAATGCACATAGGGTCTCAGAAGGTTCACAGAACCCCTGCCGCCCAGCCATGATGCCTTGGGAAACATGGGCGCCAGGTGAAGAGAATGTAATGAGAAAGACCTATTTATAATGCAGTAAAACAAGCATCTAAGGAACATTATAAAATGTCTAAGGAGTAAAAACTGCAAAACCAGCATGGAAAAAAGTTAATATTTAACTGAAGGGCATTAAAAAGACTTAAATAAATGGTGAGAAAGACTTAACAATGATAAAGGTATAAATTCTCCTTAAATGAATAGATAGCCGGGGGCGGTGGCTCATGCCCGTAATCCCAGCACTTTAGGAGGCCGAGGTGGGCCGATCACCTGAGGTCAGGAGTTCGAGACCAGCCTGACCAACATGAAGAAACCCTGTCTCTACCAAAAATACAACAAGAGCAAAACTCCGTCTAAAAAATAAATAAATAAATGAATAAATAAATAAATAAATAAATAAATAAATAAATAAATAAATAAATTTAATGCAACTCCAATCTGATATTCCAACAGGGATTTCTAAGGAACTTGACATACTGATTCTGAAATATGTGTATAAGAATAAAGATCAAAAAAATAGCCAAGGCATTTCTAAAGAATAAGGTGGTTAGACATGCTGTATTAATCTGCTCTTGCATTGCTATAAAGAAATACCTGAGACTGGATAATTTATTTTTTATTTTTATTTTTTGAGGTGGGGTCTCACTCTGTCACCCAGGCTGGAGTGCAGTGGCATGATCTCAGTTCACTGCAACTTCTGCCTCTCAGGCTCAAGTGATCTTCCCACCTCAGCTTCCCCAGTAGCTGGGACTATAGGCACGTGCCACCATGCCCAGCTAATTTTTTGTATTTTTTTTATAGAGATGGGGTATCCCCATGTTGCCCAGGCTGGTCTTGAACTCCTGAGCTCAAATGATCCACCAACCGCAGACTCCCAAAATGCTGGGATTACAGGTGTGAGCCACTGCGCCCAGCTGAGACTGGGTAATTTATAAAGAAAAGAGGTTTAATTGGCTCACAGTTCTGCAGCCTGTACAGGAAGCATGGCAGCATCTGCTTCTGGGGAGGCCTCTGGAAACTTCCAATCATGGTGGAAGATGAAAGGGAAGCAGATATATCTTACACGGCAGGGGCAGGAGCAGGAGCAAGAGAAAGAGTGGGGAGGTGCCACACGCTTTTAAACAACCAGATCTCATGAGAACTCACTATTGCCATGACAGCATCAAGGGAGAATAGTGTTAAACCACGAGAAACTGCCCCCATGATCTAATCACCTCTCACCAGGCCGCATCTCCAGCATTGAGGGTTACATTTCAACATGAGATTTGGGTAGGGACATGGATCCAAACCATATGACTTGCCCAACCAGATATCAAGATTTATGAAAAGGCCCTAAAAATTAAAACAGTGTGGAGTTGATGCAGGAATGGACAAAATGATGAGTGGAATAGAATTGAAAGCCTGCCAGAGATTTGCATTTAATTTACATAATAGAAGCAAAAGACAGTATTGCAGAGATGAAAACTATGGCAGATTCTGGAGGGAGACTGCCTAGGTTTGACACTTATTAGCTGTGTGATCTTGGACAAGTTGCTGAATCTCTCTGGCCTCAGTCTCCCTGGTGGGGAAAGGGAAACTATTCAATAAATGGAAGTGGAAAACATAGTTATAGACACGGAAAAATGAAATTGGATTTGTACCCAACTTTTTAACCAAAAGTCCATATCAACAATAGCACTTTGAAACTTCGAGGAGAAAGTGTAAGTGAAAATCTTTTTGACTTTGGGGTAATTCTTTACAAAGGCCTTAAAAGTGCTAACCATAGGATGGGCATGGTGGCTGACGCCTGTAATCCCAGTACTTTGGGAGGCTGAGGCGGGCAGAACACCTCAGGTCAGGAGTTCAAGACCAGCCTGGGGAACATGGTGAAACCCCGTCTCTACTAAAAATACAAAAAAATTAGTTAGGTGGGTGGCACACGCCTGTAATCCCAGCTACTCGGGAGGCTGAGGCACGAGACTCGCTTGAACCCAGGAGGCAGAGGTTGCAGTGAGCTGAGACTGTACCATTGCACTCCAGCCTGGGTGACAGAGCAAGACTGTCTGAAAACAAACAAACAACAACAAAAAAAAAACAGTGCTAACCATAAATGATTGATATAGGCCAGGCATGGTGTCTCATGCCTGTAATCTCAGCCCTTTGGGAGGCTGAGGCTGGGAGTTCAAGGTTACAGTGAACAGTGAATTATGATAGTGCCACTGCACTCCAGCCTGGGTGACAGAGCAAGCCTTGTCTCTAAAAATACATACACACATACATATATATATATATATATATATATATATATATATATACACACACACATACATAGAAGATTGATATAGTTGACTATATTAAAACCCAGAACTTCTTTTTCTGAAAAGGAATCTTAAAGTAAAAATACTCCAGAGGGCTGGGTGAGGTGGCTTACGCCTGTAATCCCAGTATTCTAGGAGGCTGGGGTGGGAGGATTGCTTGAGCCCAGGAGTTTGAGAACAGCCTGGACAACATAGTGAGACTCTGTCTCTACAAAAAAAAAAAAAAAAAAAAAATGTAGCCAGACGTGGTGGTGTGTGCCTGTAGTCCCAGCTACTCAGGAGATTGACGTGGGAGGATCTCTTGAGCTTGGGAGTTCCAGGCTGTAGTGCGCTGTGTTATTGCTACTGCACTCCAGCCTGGGAGACAGAGACAGACCCCCATCTTAAAACAAACAAACAAACAAACAAACAAACAAACTCTACAAAGAAGACATTTGTAATGCAGATAACCAATAACAGATAGGTGTCAAGAATATGTAAAATTATGTCTAGCCTTAAAAAAGAAAAAAAAAAGACTGGCCGGGTGAGGTGACTCACACCTGTAATCCCAGCACTTTGGGAGGCTGAGGCAGGTGGATCACGAGGTCAAGAGATCGAGACCATCCTGGGCAACATGGTGAAACCCCATCTCTACTAAAAATACAAAAAAAAAAAAAAAAATTAGCCAGGCGTGGTGGTGTGTGCCTGTAGTCCCAACTACTTGGGAGGCTGAGGCAGAAGAATCGCTTGAACTCAGGAAGTGGAGGTTGCAGTGAGCCAAGATGGCACCACTGCACTCCAGCCTGGGCGACAGAGCGAGACTCTTGTCTCAAAAAAAAAAAAAAGAAAAGAAAAGAAAAGAAAAGAAAAAGACTATGTAAAATTAAAATTAGTAAGAAAGAACAACTAGCCCAGTCAAAATAAATAAATAAATAAAAAGGCGGGGTTGGGGGGGAAACATGACCAAACAGTTCTTAGAAGAGAAAATGTGAACATGTATAGTCAATAAACTTCTGAAGAGATGCTCATCTTACTAGTAATCAGGGAAATGAAATTCAAGACAATTAAATCCCATTCTGCATCTGAATGGCCAAAATTGAAAAGTCTGACAATTAAAGAGGCTGTGGATCAATGGGACTGCTTATACATTGCTGGTTGGAGTATAAATTGGTACAACTGCTTTGAAAACCAATTTATTATTATTATTTTGTAACACTGGACATTTTTATATATCCCAGGAACTCCACTCTAGATATACTCAAGAGAAACTCTTGTATAGCACCAGGAGTCATGTATAAGGATATTCCTTACAGCAGTCTGCGGTAGCAAAACAGCAATAACAAAACCCCTAACTCCATCAGGGAGAGAGAATAAGAAATACGAATTCAGGATAGTGATTCCCTGGGGATGAGATGGGGAGAAGAATATTGGTAGATTAAATTTGTCACTGATGCTATACAATTTTGGTGGTAGGTTCACAGATCTTCATTACATTATTAAAAATAAGTGGGGCTGGGTGTGGTGGTTTATGCCTGTAATTCCAGCATTTTGGGAGGCCCAGGTGGGAGGATCACTTGAAGCCAGGAGTTTGAGACCAGCCTGGACAACATAGTGAGACCCTGTCTTTATAAAAAATAAAAAATTAGCTGGGTGTGGTGGTGTGTGCCTGTAGTCTCAGCTGCTCGGGAGGCTGAGGTGGGAAAATCACTTGAGGCTGGGAGATTGAGTCTACAGTGAACTGCCCTCCAGCTAGGACAACAGAGTGAGACCTTGTCTCAAAAAATAAATAAATAAAATAAAAATGAAAAATAAATGGATGCAGATGGCTGTGGAGAAGCTCTCTGATGGGATCCGCAAGTCTGCTGCTGACGCAGTGAAGCTGGAGTGGATGCTGACAGAATGAATGTTCAATGCAGAGAATGGAAAGTAGTGCAGCCATGAGGCTGGACTCCAGATCTGCACTGCTGGCCAGCTGGGGTCTGACTGCACATGGCTTCTGATGAATCTTGCGTTTTTTACAAATCGGAGCAGGGACAGATCATAGATTTCTGATTTTATGTAAAATTTTGCCTAATACATTAAAGCAGTCACTTAAAAAAAATGGATGTTTGTTAAAACCCATAGAATGTATACGAATGAACCCTAATGTAAGCTATGGACTTTAATTAATAGTATATCAGTATTGGCTCATCAGTTGAAACAAATGCCCCCTACTAATTCAAGATTTTAATAATAAGGGAAATTGGAGTGGGAAATAAGGATATATCGGAACTCTCTGTGCTTTTCACTCAATTTTTCTGTAAACCTGAAACTGCTAAAAAATAGTCTATTAGTTAAATAAATTAAAAAGTGGACAAACAAATGAAGAATAAATAAATATAAAAGACAGCTATGAGTGTGTTGAGCCAAGGATTATGATTAATCCAGTTCTATGCATCTGAGAGTTATTAAAAACAAACAAGTAAATCAAAGACAAACAGATTCCCAGACTGGAACCAAGAAAAATCTAACATTATGAAATAAAAGTAAGAGCCATGCTTTGCACTCAGATGTCAATTATCTAAACAGAACGTGGAGATTAAAAGGGATTCATATAGGAAGAGTTCTAGAAGTTTTCATTGATAATGCAATGATCTTTTGTTGTTTTTTTTTTTTATTGTTATTTTTATTTGAGACAGGGTCTTGTGCTGTCACCCGGGCTGGAGTGCAGTGGCATGATCTCAGTTCACTGCAAACTCTGCCTCCCAGGCTCAGGTGATTCTCTCATCTTAGCCTCCTGAGTAGCTGAGACCACAGGTGGGTGCCACCATGCCTGGCTAATTTTTGTTTTTTTTGTAGAGATGGGTCTTACTATGTTGCCCAGGCCGGTCTTGAACCCCTGAGCTCAAGTGATCCACCTGCTGTGGCCTCCCAAAGTGCTGGGATTACAGGTGTGAGCCGCTGTGCCTGGCCTGTTGTTTTTAAAGATGACAAAAATATAGTCTCAGGCTGTTTCAATATTATTACTAATTGAGTTTAAAATGGTGTTCTGACAATATTTATTTATTTATTATTATTATTATTTGAGACGGAGTTTCACTCTTGTTGCCCAGGCTGGAGGGCAACGGTGTGATTTCAGCTCATTGCAATCTCTACTTCCCAGGTTCAAGCAATTCTCCTGCCTCAGCCTCCTGAGTAGCTGGGATTACAGGCGCCCACTACCATGCCTGGCTAATTTTTTATATTTTTAGTAGAGACAGGGTTTCACCATGTTGGCCAGGCTGGTCTCGAACTCCTTACCTCAGGTGATCCACTCACCTCGGCCTCCCAAAGTGCTGGGATTACAGAAGACAGTCACTGTGCCCGGCTGACAATATTTATTTATTTTTAAAATTTCCCCTCCTTAACAAGACTGCACTAAAATGACAGCAAAGAAAATAAAAAGGTACAAATCCACAATAATGAAGAGGCTGGAAGGGAGAGATATCAGCAAATAAGAAATTTCAACAAATTGTAGCAGTTAGCCAATAAAAAAGACATAAAAGAGATGGAGGAGTAGCCTAGCATACTATGGAGGTGGATGTAGCTAAGGAGGAAGGTGGTATGTCTTGCAGAACTGACTGATATGGTTTGGCTCTGTGTCCCCACCCAAATCTCATCTCGAATTGTAATCCTGGCATGTTGGAGGAGGGGCCTGGTGGGAGGTGATTGGATGAGGGGGGTGGTTTCCTCCATGCTGTTCTCATGACAGTGAGGGAGTTCTCACGAGATCTGGTTGTTTGATAAGTGTTTGGCAGTTCTCCCTTTACTTTCTCTCTCCTGCCACCATGTAAGATGTGCCTTCCTTCCCCTTTGCCTTCCTCCATGACTGTAAGTTTCCTGAGGCCTCCCCAGCCATGAGGAACTGTGAGTCAATTAAATCCCTTTTCTTCATAAATTACCCAGTCTCAGGTAGTATCTTTATAGCAGTGTAGAAACGGACTAATATACCAATAGTCGCAGGACTAAAGGTGAGGATAAGACTTGGGCAGAGAGTTAGGGATTAAATGAAGGTCCTGTTGCATCTGAATGCCCAGAAACTTGGCATCTACCACACAGGAACACCATTTGAAGACTCTTCTCCAAAGAAATTGGATGGTCCCAGAAAAAAGACCTTTGCAAAAAGCCCTCTGGGGTCTCCCAGCATCATGACCTGTTTCTTACCCCAAATCCTGAATTTGCCTACTAGTAAGCCTCACCCTGTTCACACAGAGCTCCCAATCTATTGTCTCATTCTGAAATATGGACTGACAGCTCATCAGCATACATTTGAGAAAAGTCTGCACAAAGCAAAGGTCAGAAACAACCCTAGAGGAAACAGAACTCATTCAGGAGACAGAAGAGAACTCTAAAATACTTAATGTCTTCAGAGAGATTCAAAGTCATGCTTGCTTTGGCAGCACATATACTAAAATTGGAGATTCAAAGCCATCTTAGGTTCATACAACATGAGTAGATGCTTTGAAAAAGGAACAGACTGGCCGGGCCTGGTGGCTCACACCTGTAATCCCAGCACTTTGGGAGGCTAAGGCGGGCGGATCATGAGGTCAGGAGTTCGAGACCAGCCTGACCAACATGGTGAAACCCTGTCTCTACTAAAAATTCAAAAAAATGTAGCTGAGCATGGTGGCACTCGCCTGTAATCCCAGCTACTCAGGAGGCTGAGGCAGGAGAATCGCTTGAACCCAGGAGAGGCGAGGTTGCAGTGAGCAGAGATCACGCCACTGCACTCCAGCCTGGGCAGCGGAGGGAGACTCCATCTCAAAAAAACAAAAAACAAAAGAAAAAGGAACAGACTGGCCAGGCAGGGTGGCTCACACCTGTAATCCCAGCACTATGGGAGGCCAAGGTGGGTGGATCACCTGAGGTCAGGAGTTTGAGGCCAGCCTGGCCAACACAGTGAAACCCCATCTGTACTAAAAATACAAAAATTAGCCCGGTGTGGTGGTGTGTGCTTGTAATCCCAGCTACTCGGGAGGCTGAGGCAGAAGAATCGCTTGACCTAAGAGGCAGAGGTTGCAGTGAGCCGAGATCGCACTACTGGACTTCAGCCTGGACGACAGAGCAAGACTCTGTTTCAGGGGGAAAAAAAAGATAGAAAAAAGAACAAACTAAACAATAATGGCAACAAAAAGAAAGTGTCCTTGAAAAGTAAAAAATATGACTGCTAAAATAGAAAAGTAAAATCATCGAGTAATTAAAATCAAATATTCCATAAATTAAAATGAGACGAAACAATGGAAATAGCAGTGGAAAGATAAGAGACACAGGATCAATTCAATAACAAACTAATAGGTATTCAGGGATAGAACAGAGGAACTTATCAAAGAAATAATATAAAAGAATTTCCTGGGCATAAGTCTATAGATGGAAAGGGCCTACCAAGTGCCCAGAAAAATGAATAAAATGAGAATCACATCTAGAAACATCATCAAGACTTCAGAAAACCTAGGATAAAGAGAAACCCCTAAAAGCTTCTAGAGAGAAAAAAATATTCCAGATTACTTACTGTGTTAGGATTAGTTTCAGTCGCAAGGGACAGACTTCCTCAAATATCAATGGCTTAAGTAAGGCAAATGTTTAGGTAATAATAAGGCAAATAAGGTAAAAGTCTTCCTCTTTCTCACATGCAATAAACACAGGCAATTCAGGCTGGTATGACATCTCCATGACTACCAGAAACCTGGCTGCCTCTTTCTTGAGTTTCCACTATCCCCAAAATGCTGCTTTCACCTATGGTCCAAGATGGCTGCTTGGGCACCTGCCAACATGTTTATGTTCCAGGTAGCAAGAAGGAGGCAGCAGGGGAGAAAGGCATGTCCCTTCCTGCTTTAAGAATGCATCCCAGAAGTTGTATACACCACTTTCACTTACATCCTACTGGTCAGATCTTGGTTATCTGCATATCTACTGGTCACACTTAGATGCAGGGAAGGCAGGCACATGCAGTCTTTATTTTGAGTGGCATGTGCACGGTTAAAATTCAGGATTCTAATACTGAGGAAGAAAAACAATAGATATCAGGGGATGATCAGAAGTCTCTGTGTCACATTTACAAAGGAAAATAGTCAAAATGGATTTTTTTTTAGAGGCAGGGTCTCACTCTGTCACCCAGGCTGGAGTGCAGTGATGTGATCACAACTCACTGCAGCCTTGACCTACCAGGCTTAAGCAATCCTCCTGCCCCAGCCTCTCAAGTAGCTGGGACCACAGGTGTGCACCATTATGACTGGCTAATTAACAAAAAAATATTTTTGTAGAGATGGAGTCTCCCTATGTTGCCCAGGCTGGTCTCGAACTCCTGGGCTCAAGCGATTCTCCTGCCTTGGCCTCCCAAAGTGCTGAGATTACAGACGTGGGCCACCGCATTTGGCCCCTCCTTGACTTAAATGTGTGTATCTTGGGCCAGCAGCCTTTGTTGGGTGTGCTGGTTGTTTTCTTATAGTCTCCCAGCTCTAAGATCGCCCTTGTGCATTATGGTCTGTTTTGACCAAAACTCAGCAAACCACCGTTTCCCAGGTGTCCTTGCCAGTTGGCTTCCTGTTAGGTTCTTCTGCTGGGAGGAACTGGCAGATGATCTCAAGGTAAGAGGAGAAACAGGACTTCGTTCCAGCAGCAAGGGACAGCAATGGCTTCAGCCCCTGGCTTCCTTTGGCTGTCTCAGCACCACCCATATCCAGTCCCCTCAGAAGTTTCAGTGCCATCTGGCCACATCTCTTAGCGGTGTGAAGACCAGTCCCCCAGAGGTCCCATTCCCAGCTACTCAGATATCCACACACCAGCCGGGTGATGCCCCTTGAAAGTCTGTAGCAGCCATGTGGGGCCTCCCCTCCAAGCAGTTAGGTTCTAGTAGCCATGCCTCTTCCCTTTTATTCCTGATTTGGCATTTACTAGTATCTGATTACTTCTTTCCCAGGAGTGGCAGCTGCTTTTTGTAGTTACTAATATCTGGGTGATATCAACATCCCCTTTTTGTTTTTGCAAACTCCCAATATCTGTGTAACACCAATTCCCTACATTAAATTACCTGTGTCTGAGATTCCTTAGTTTCTGTTTTCCTGGACCTGATAGAGTGGGGAAGCCACCTCTTTAGCTCCCTTTCTCTGAATTATTTTGTCTAGTTGAAAGATTTACTGGGTGCTATGCTCTTAACTGGACCTTTACTGTGAGACACTGTAATGCATTTAGAGGTTTTATTTTATTTTTTTGAGACAGGTTCTGTTGCCCAGATCATGGTTCACTGTAGGCTCAAACTCCTAGGCTCAAGGGGCCCTCCCACCTCAGCTTCCTGAGTAGCTGGGACCACAGGTGTGCCACCATGCCTAGCTAATTTAAAAATTTTTTTGTTGAGATGGGGGTCTCATGATGTTGCCTAGACTGGTCTTGAACTCCTGGGCTTAAGTGATTCTCCTGCCGTGGCCTCCCAAAGTGCTGGGATTACAGGCTTGATCCAGTGTCTGGCCGCACTTAGAGGTTTTAACAAGAGGGTGACGGCAATACTTCTGCTTCTGCCTAGGCTTTTTCACTCAAAAATCTCCTCACTTTCATCAGCTATAGATTGAGATTGAGAAGTAATCCTGTAAATCCTGATGTCTGGATTCTTTCTGTTTGATTTCATTCTTGCTGGTAAACTGGCCAATTATTTTCTGAGGCTAATAATTTTTGGAGTACCTTGTCAAATATAGCCAACAGCAACCAATACACACTACTAATGTTCTGTTGCTAACCTCTTTTTTTTTTTTTTTTTTTTTTTTTGAGATGGAGTCTCCCTCTGTTGCCCAGGCTGGAGTGCAGTGGCATAATCTCGGCTCACTGCAACCTCCGCCCTCTGGGCTCAAGTGATTCTCCCATCTCAGCCCTCTAGTAGCTGGGACTATAGGCGTGCACCACCATCGCTTGGCTAATTTTCATATTTTTAGTAGAGACAGCGTTTCACCATGTTGGCCAGGCTGGTCTCGAACTCCTGACCTCAAACAATCCGCCTGCCTCGGCCTCCCAAAGTGTTGGGATTATAGGCGTGAGCCACCACGCCTGGCCATATTTCAGATTTGGTTACAGTGCCACTCCACTTCTGGTACCAATTTCCACGTCAGTTGGGAGAAGCTAGGTTATGAAGAGTTAACAAACACCCCCACAATCTCAATGCTTTACCACCAACGAAGGTGGTAATGAATGAGACGTAATGAATGAGAGTATTTGTGAACAGCACTGATGACCACCATACCAGTAAGCTTAGAGAGCAACCAGGCCAGATTGATTAGGAGGATGGAGGGGTCTGAGAAGATAAAAAGGGGATCCGTTAGACCGTCTGACATGACAGAGCACAGAGAGGTGCAACTGTCCAGACCTAATGAATGAGAATAACTTAAGGAAAACAGTACAAGAGAAAAGAAAGTAGAAACTCTGGGAAAAACAAACTGTTCTATAAGAAAGGAAGGGAAATGATAGTACCTAATTTGTCTCTGAAATAAATTAGTTATTTATCAGCTATTCTCATAGCTGATAATAATGTAAATGCTGCCAGGCGAGGTAGCTCACGCCTGTAATCCTAGCACTTTGGGAGGCTGAGGTGGGCTGATCACTTGAGGCCAGGAGTTCGAGACCAGCCTGGCCAACATGGTGAAACCCCGTCTCTACTAAAAATACAAAAATTAGCTGGACATCGTGGCACACACTTGTAATCCCAGCTACTCAGGAGGCTGACGCAGGAGAATCACTTGAACTCGGGAGGTGAAGGTTGCAATGAGCCGAGACTGCACCATTCTGGGTGAGATTCTAGCTCTGGGCGACAGAGAGCGACTCGGTCTCAAAAAAAAAAAAAAAAAAAAATTAAATGCTGTATATTAGGGTCAATCTGTAGTAAGGTTTGCAGATGTAATTACGGTTATAGAACAGAATTTAATGTTAACAACTTTGAAAATTTGAAAGTTCAAACAAAGTAAGAGAGGTAGAAAGGGGAGAGGAAAGTTAAAGGGGAAAGAAAGGGGCCTAATGTCCTCATTTTACAAAATGGGAAGTCACACACTATTATCTAAGATTACGGAACAATGGAAAAGAGTTTATTTGCAAAGGTAGGGAGTGAAAAACACTGATGGAGCATTGTTGGGGTTGGGAGAGAGAAGAGTTATGGTGCTGGTATGTGTTAATTTATTATCTATTATGGATGATCATCTACAGATAATGTTTAAAATTGATTAAGCAAGGAATTGCTGCGTAAGCACATTATTTTGAAAAATGGAAATGGCAACTAGAAAAAATAGCTAAAAGAACTAAAAAATGGTTGTGTCTTAGGAGCAGGACTAGCATTCAGGGGAGAGAGGTATAGATGAACTGCTTTTTACTATGAATCTGTCAATAATATTTAATTTGAAAATCATGTGCTTATATTTCTTAGGTTAAAAAGCCATTTAAAATACAAATACAAAAATTTGGCCAGGCGTGGTGGCTCACGCCTGTAATCCCAGCACTTTGGGAGGCCGAGATGGGTGGATCACGAGGTCAGGAGATCGAGACCATCCTGGCTAACACGTGAAACCCCGTCTCTACTAAAAAAATACAAAAAATTAGCCAGGCGTGGTGGTGGGCACCTGTAGTCCCAGCTACTCGGGAGGCTGAGGCAGAAGAATGGTGTGAACCCAGGAGGTGGAGCTTGCAGTGAGCTGAGATTGCGCCACTGCACTCCAGCCTGGGCGACAGAGCAAGACTCTGTCTCAAAAAAAGAAAAAAAAAAATTAGCTGGGCATGGTGGCTCACACCTGTAATCCCAGCTACTCAGGAGGCTGAGGCAAGAGAATTGCTTGAACCCAGGAGGTGGAGGTTGTAGTAAGCCAAGATTGTGCCATTGCACTCCAGCCCGGGCGACGGAGCTAGACCCTGTCTCAAAAAAAAAAAAAAAAAAAAAAGTAGCATACAATTTTTTTTTTTTTGAAACAGGGTCTCTGGGGGGAGGGGGGAGGGATAGCATTAGGAGATATACCTAATGCTAAATGACGAGTTAATGGGTGCAGCACACCAGCATGGCACATGTATACATATGTAACTAACCGGCACATTGTGCACATGTACCCTAAAACTTAAAGTATAATAATAATTTTAAAAAAATAATAATTTTCTTAATTATATTGTTGAGATTATAATGTATGTATATGTAATAAATAAAAGGAAAATAAGAAGAAGAAGAAAAAAGAAACAGGGTCTCGCTCTGTCACCTGGGGTGTGATCATGGCTTACTGCAGCCTTGATCTCCCTGGGTTCAGGTGATCCTCCTACCTCAGCTTCTCAAGTAGCTGGGACTACGGGTTGGTGCCACCACGCCCGGCTATTTTTTTGATTTTTTTGTAGAGACGAGGTTTTGCCATGTTGCTCAGGCTGGTCTCAAACTCGTAGGCTCAAGCATAGTGAGCTGGTTAGTGGCAGAACTGGATTCAAACACAGGTCTTTTGACTTTCAGTCTAGGGCTCGACTCGCTTGCTCCACAAGCTACTCAATAAACATTATTGAGCACACACTTTGGTCTGGATATGGTGCCAGGTGCTAGGGCCAAGATGAATAAGTCCTCTTGTATTGTTCATAGATTGCACACAGTCTAGAGCCTATTTGTTGTTGTTTTTTTTTGGAGATGGAGTCTGGATCAGTCACCCAGGCTGGAGTGCAGTGGCACGATCTCGGCTCACTGCAAGCTCCGCCTCCCAGGTTCACGCCATTCTCCTGCCTCAGCCTCCCGAGTAGCTGGGACTACAGGTGCCCACCACCATGCCCGGCTAATTTTTTGCATTTTTAGTAGAGACTGGGTTTCACCGTGTTAGCCAGGATGGTCTCGATCTCCTGTGATCACCGCGCCCGGCCCTAGTTTTTTTTTTTTAATTGACACATAAAAATCATATGTGGCCTGGCGTGGTGGCTCACGCCTGTAATCCCAGCACTTTAGGAGACCAAGGCAGGCAGATCACGAGGTCAGGAGATCGAGACTATCCTGGCCAACATGGTGAAACCCCGTCCCTACTAAAAATACAAAAATTAGCTGGGCGTGGTGGCATGTGCCTTTAATCCCAGCTACTCAGGGGGCTGAGGCAGGAGAATCGCTTGAACCAGGGAGTCAGAGGTTGCAGTGAGCCAAGATTGTGCCACTGCACTCCAGCTTGGCAACAGAGCAAGACTCCATCTCAAAAAAAAAAAAAAAAAACAAAAAACCGTATGTATTTATGGTATACTACATGATATTTTGAAATATATATACATTGTGGAATGGCCAAATCAAGCTAATTAACACACATATTACCTCACATATTTATGTATTTGTACTGAGAACATGTGTTATTGGTATTTTGATAGGGATTGCATTGAATCTTTAGATTGCTTTGAGTAGTATGGACACTTTAATAATATTAATTCTTCCAGTTCATGAACATGGGATATCTTTCAATTTATTTGTGTCTTCTTCAATTTCTTTCATCAATGTTTTTAGAGTTTTCAGTGTATAGCTCTTTCAACTCATTGGTTAAATTTATTCTTAAAATAAAATAACACAGTTCTAAATAACGCATGGGTCAAGAAGTCATAAGAGAGATAAGAAATTGTTTCAATCTAAGTGAAAACACAATGTTGGCCAGATGCAGTGGCTCACACCTGTAATCCCAGCACTTTGGAAGGCCGAGGTAGGCAGACCACTTAAGCTCAGGAGTTCGAGACCAGCCTGGGCAACATGGCAAAACCCCGTATCTACAAAAAATACAAAAATTACCTGGGCCTGGTGGCATACCTCTGAAGTCCCAACTACTCAGGAGGCTGAGGTGGATCACTTGAGCCTGGGAGGTGGAGGTTGCAGTGAGCCAAGATTGCACCACTGCACTCCGGCCTGGCAACAGAGCCAGCCCTGTCTCAAAAAAAAAAAAAAAAGAAGAAGAAGAAGAAGAAAAAAGTTAACTCCTTTGGAATTTAGCTAAGGCAGTGTTTGAGGAAATTATATAGCATTAAACACTTAAATTAGAAAAAAGGAAAGGTCTCTTATAAATTACCTAAGCTTCCGTCTTTACAAAACCAGAAAGTGGCAGAAGAGAGGATATAATAAAGATAAATGTAGAAATTAATAAACATAAGACAAAAAGGCAATAGGAAAAATCAATGAAACAAAAATTTGGTACTTTGAGAAGATTAATGAAATTGAGCAAATGGCTGATTAGGAAAAAGAAAGAAGACATAAATTGTCAATCTCAGAAATGATAGATTTCTACAGATTTGATGGACATTAACTAGGTAATAAGGAAATATTGTGAATAACTTTATGCCAATAAATTTGAAATTTTTGATGAAGTACAGAAAGATACAAAGCACCAAAGCTCATTCAAGAAGAAATAGGTCACTTATATAGCTCTATATCTATAAGAAATTGAATGTGTAGTATAAAAATTTCCCACGAGGCTGGGCACAATGGCTCACACCTGTAATCCCAGCAATTTGGGAGGCCAAGGAGGGCAGATGGCGAGGTCAGGAGATTGAGACCATCTTGGCCAACGTGGTGAAACCCTGTCTCTACAAAAAATACAAAAATTAGCTGGATGTGGTGGTGCGTGCCTGTAATCCCAGCTACCTGGGAGGCTGAGGCAGGAGAATCGCTTGAACCTGGGAGGCGGAGGTTGCAGTGAGCCAAGATCACGCTACTGCACTCCAGCCTGGCGAAAGAGTGAGATTCCGTCTCAAACAAACAAACAAAAGTTTCCCACGAAGATTACGTCACATAATGACTTTGCTGGTGAATTTTATCAAACATTTAAGGAATAAATAATAGCAATTCACAAAGTCATTTGGGAAACTGAAAAGAAGGCAACACTTCCCAACTCATTCTATGAGGTTAGCATTACCCCGATATTACAACCAGGTAAAAATATTACAAAGAAAGAAATCTGCAGAACAATATCCATAATTAAATAGATGCAAAAAATTTTAACAAAAATCAACACCACTAATATATAGAAAGTAAGATACATCATTACACAATGCATAATCTCAAGAGTGAAAGATTAGTTTAATATTTGAAAATTATTCAGTGTAATTTACCATGTTAATTTACTAAAAAGGATAAACCATGTGATCATCTCAATAGATACAGGGAAGCATTTGGTGAAATCCAACATCTGTTCATGACAAAAACTTGCAGCAAATTAGGAATAGAAGGAAGGGAACTTCTGCAACCTGTTAAAGCGCATCTACAAAAAAACCTATCTCTAATGTTATGCTTAATTATGAAAGAGTGAGTGCCCTTCTCTCTTAGATCAGGAACAATGCAAAGATGTCCTGTTTTTCCCACTTCTGTTCAATGTCATGCTGGAGTGTGTAATCATACTATGGAACCGTGATAATGAAGTCCAGAATAAAGAAGATTTTATCCAGAATAAAGAAGAAGGGAGTTAATCTCTACACAATAAATAAAATATTCCTAAATTGGGAGAAATCTAAAAATAAATAAATGAATAAAAATAAAGACATGCAGATAGGAAATGAAGAGGTAAAACTATTTGCAGACAACATGGTCATCTATAAAGAAAATTCTGAGGAATCTACAAAATACTGCTAAAAGTATGTGAGTTTAGTAAGTTTCAAGACACATACTCAGCATACCAAAATCAATGGTATTTCTACATGCTTACAACCTTCTGCTTGAAATTGAAATGTTAAAAGTACATTTATGATAGTATTAATATGGGAAATACTTAGTGACAAATCTGCCAGAAGATACGCAAGACCTGGATCATTAAAGTCTCTCTTCCCCCTGCCATCATGTCTAAGTCAGAATCTCTTAAAGAGCCCGAACAGCTGCAGAAACTCCTCACTGGAGGGTTGAGCATTGAAGCAACCAATGAGAGCCTGAGGAGCCATTTTGAGCAATGGGGAACGCTCACGGACTGTGTGGTCCTGAGAGATCCAAACACTAAGTGCTCCAGGGGCTTTGGGTTTGTCACATATGCCACTGTGGAGGAGGTGGATGCAGCCACAAATGCAAGGCCACACAAGGTGGATGGAAGAGTTGTGGAAACAAAGAGAGCTGTCTCAAGAGAAGATTCCCAAAGACCAGGTGCTCACTTAACTGTGAAAAAGGTATTTGTTGGTGGTATTAAAGAAGACACTGAAGAACATCACCTAAGAGATTATTTTCAATAGTTTGGAAAAATGGAAGTGATTGAAATCATGACTGACCATGGCAGTGGCAAGAAAAGGGACTTTGCCTTTGTAACCTTTGATGACCATGACTCCGTGGATAAGACTGTCATTCAGAAATACCATATTGTGAATGGCCACAACTGTGAAGTTAGGAAAGCCCTGTCAAAGCAAGAGATGGCTAGTGCTTCATCCAGCCAAAGAGGTCGAACAGGTTCTGGAAATTTTGGTGGTGGTTGTAGAGGTGGTTTTGGTGGGAATGACAACTTTGGTCATGGAGGAGACTTTAGTGGTCATAGTGGCTTTGGTGGCAGCCAGGGTGGTGGTGGATATGATGGCAGTGGGGATGGCTATAATGGATTTGGTAATGATGGAAGCAATTTTGGAAGTGGTGGAAGCTACAGTGATTTTGGCAATTACAGCAATCAGTCTTCAGATTTTGGACCCAAGAAGGGAGAAAACTTTGGAGGCAGAAGCTCTGGCCCCTATGGTGGTGGAGGCCAATACTTTGCCTAACCACAAAACCAAGGTGGCTATGACAGTTCCAGTAGCAACAGTAGCTATGCCAGTGGCAGAAGATTTTAATTACTGACAGGAAAGAAAACTTAGCAGGAGAGGAGAGCCAGAGAAGGGACAGGAAGCTACGGGTTACAACAGATTTGTGAACTCAGCCTACCAGGGCCTAGCCGTTACAAAGAAGACATTGTTTAGACCATACTTATGTCTATGGGCGAAAAACTTGAGGACTGTATTTGTCACTAATTGTGTTAACAGGTTATTTTAGTTCCTGTTCTGTGGAAGGTGTAAAGCATTCCAACAAAGGGTTTTAACGCAGATTTTTTTTTTGCACCCACGCTGTTGACTGCTAAATGTAATAGTCTGATTATGATGCTGAATAAATGCATCTTAAAAAAAAGATATGCAAGACCTGTAGCTTGAAATTACAATACACTGCCGAGAGAAATTAAAGAAAATCTAAATAGATAGAGAGATATATCATGTTCATCAATCAAAATTATTAATCTCAGTTCTCTCCAAATTAACCTATAGATTCGACATAATCCCAACCAAAATCCAAGCAGGCTTTTAAAAAAGAAATGGATAAGCTGATAATAAAATTTAAGTAAAATGCAAAGTACTCAGAATAGTCAAAACAACTTTGAAAAAGAAAAACAAAGTTGAAGGACCTACACTACCTGATTTCAAGATGGTACAGTAATTGGGGAAATGTAGTATTGGCTTAAACATAGACATATAGGGCCAGGCGAGGTGGCTTACTCCTGTAATCCCAATAGTTTGGGAGGCTGAGGCAGGTGGATCACCTGAGGTCGGGAGTTTGAGACCAGCCTGGCCAACATAGCAAAACCCTGTCACTACTAAAAATACAAAAAAATTAGCCAGGCGTGGTGGTGCACGCCTGAAGTCCCAGCTACGTGGAAGGCTGAGGCACCAGGCTTGCTTGAACCCAGGAGGCAGAGATTGCAGTGAGCTGCGATTGCACCACTGCATGCCAGCCTGGGTGACAGAGCAAGACTCCATCTCAAAACAAAACAAAACAACAGACATGTAGATTAACAGAACCAAAGTACAGAGTCCAAAAACAGACCCAAGCAATTGAGTCTATTACTCAAGACTTGAGCTCCTGTGCTTAAGCAGTCCTTGTGCCTCAGTCTCCTGAGCAGCTGGGACTACATGCCATTGTTAGGCACTTATTTAAGACAAATAAAAGTACATGTCGGCTGGGCGCGGTGGCTCACGCCTGTAATCCCAGCACTTTGGGAGGCTGAGGCAGGCGGATCACCTGAGGTCGGGAGTTCAAGACCAGCCTGACGAACATGGAGAAACCCCATCTCTACTAAAAATGCAAAATTAGCCAGTCGTGCTGGTGCATACCTGTAATCCCAGCTACTTGGGAGGCTGAGGTGGGAGAAGCACTTGAACCTGGGAGGCGGAGGTTGCGGTGAGCCGAGATCATGCCACTGCACCCCATCCTGGGCCACAAGAGTGAAACTCCATCTCAAAAAAAAAAAAAAAAAAGTACATGTCTACACACAGATATGAACACAAATGCTCATGCCAGCTTTATTTGTATGATAGCCAGTAACTAGAAACAACTAAAAATCCATCATCAATAGGTGAATGGATAAGCCAATTCTGTTCTATTCATACCATGGCATTCTGCTCAGCAATAATAAAAGAGAACAAATTATTGATATATGCAACAAAACATATGAATTGCAAAATAATTATGCTGAGTGAACAAAGGCAGAGAAAAATAATACATACTGTATGATTCCATTTATATAGAATTTTAGAAAATGAAAACTAATCTAGGGACAGAAGCAGATTATTATTTGCTTGGGGATGTGGGGAAGTGGGCAGTGTAGGGCCATGAGGAAACTTTGGGGGTGATGAATATGTTCATTACCTTGACATGGTGATGAATGAGATGATGGAGATATATACATATATACATGTATACACACACACACACTATATATATATGCATATATATGCATATATATGCATATATATATGCATATATATAGTGTGTGCGTGTTTTGATATACATATGTAATTTATATGCATACGTATATATATACATATGTATATATGTGTGTGTTTTGATATACATATGTAATTTATATGCATATGTATATATTATGTATGTATATCAAAACTCATCAAATGGCACACTTTAAATATGTGCAGTTGTTTAGTAACTGTATCTCAATAAAGCTATTAAAAACAAAACAGGCTGGGAGTGGTGGCTCATGCCTGTAATCCCAGCACTTTGGGAGGCCGAGGTGGGTGGATCACGAGGGCAGGAGATCGAGTCCATCCTCGCCATCATGGTAAAACCCTGTCTCTACTAAAAATACAAAAATTAGCCGGGCATGGTGGTGTGCACCTGTAGTCCCAGCTTCTCAGGAGGCTGAGGCAGGAGAATTGCCTGAACCCGGGAGGCGGAGGTTGCAGTGAGCTGAGATTGTGCCACTGCACTCCAGCCTGGGGACAGAGCGATACTATGTTTCAAAAAAAAAAAGAAAAAGAAAAAGAAAAAGAAAAGGAAAGAGATTGGCTAAATAAATTGAAGTAGATCCACATAAAGAAATACTGTGTAGCAATAAAAATCATGGAAAGGCTCAGCACAATGGTTCATGCCCGTAATCCCAGCACTTTAGGAGGCTGAAGGGGAAGGATCACTTGAGGCCAGCAGTTCAAGTCCAGCCTGGACAGATGGGTAGATCCCATCTCTACGATTAAAAAAAAAAAAAAGAAAGAAAATCATGAAAAGATAATTGTTTAATATTTGATAATTAAGAGAAAAAGCAGATTACAAAACAGTGTATCCAATATGGTTAATCTGAGTATTTTCAGGATTCACCACTTGATTAGAGTGGCACATTAAAATTAAACCATGGTTTACACAGACCAGATTCATCTTGCCAGGGTGGGAATTCCCCTTCTCAGCACAGTCCACCTGCCCCATATGTTTCTGGGTGTTCCCACATGTGCCTCACTTGCACTTGGAAAGTGATCTAAGATGTCCTTTTGTAGTAGGATGAGCTGCAGACAAAACTCCTTAGACACTGGATTAAAGAAGGAAGAGGTTTTTATTCGGCCGGGAGCGTCGGCACTTTGCTGTTGCTGACACCTGGGGCCTCTGCTGAGCTGAGGCTCCAACACTGATGAGGACAGCTGAGCAAAAGATGGCTGGAGTGGCCATCCAGGCTGCTGCCAAAGCCCCATGCACGGGGTGTTCATCATTCTGCCATGACATTGAACCCTTACCGTGCTCTCAGAGGATGGTGGAAGCAAGTGACAAAGCCAAGGCCTCCGTTTTTGTTACACCGAGAGGCCCTCCACAGGAGGGCTGCTTGGGCCCCAGGTGGCCAAGCTCAGCACAGCTGCTCTCTTTGTACATAAATTGCCCTTTTCTCCCCAGAGTTGTGGGGGCAGGATGAGTTCAGGTGCCAGCCTCTGTGGGTGCCTGGAATGCCTAGCCCCCTCCGAATCCCTGGTTCTGGTGTGTTGAATGTACTCCACCTGCCAAGTGCCTCCTCCTCCGGGGATTCACTTCCTTCTTAGAAGGGACCACCACTGTGTTTTGTCAGGCCCCTTCTAAGTTTGCCAGCTGAGCCTAGATCCCAAACATGACACTAATGGATGTTTTTCTTTTTCTTTTTTTCTTTTTTTTTGAGACAGTTTCGCTCTTGTCATCCAGGCTAGAGTGCAGTGGCGCGATCTCAGCTCACGGCAAGCTCCACCTCCCGGGTTCAAGCAATTCTCCTGCCTCAGCCTCCCGAGTAGCTGGGATTACAGGCTCCCGCCACCACTCCCGGCTAATTTTTTGTATGTTTAGTAGAAATGGGGTTTCGCCATGTTGGCCAGGCTGGTCTCGAACTCCTGACCTCCGGTGATCCACCCGCCTAGGCCCCCCAAAGTGCTGGGATTACAGGCGTGAGCCACCACGCCCGGCCTGATGGACGTTTTTCTGAGCGACTCTTCTGAGCCCGTGATCACACATTGTAGATTTCATATCATCTCTTACATAACAATACATACGGGGGGTGGGGAGGGAGTGGTACCACCATCTCTTACCAACCACGTCTGCATCTGCCAGCTCTAGTCTAGCTTCTCTCTGAGTAAAGACATCTTGGGTGGTATGCATTTGCTTTGTGCTGTGCAAAACTATCCACTTTTTTTTTTCTCTTTCTATCAATACCCATGAGGACAAGCACAGCGCATCCTGCTCAGAACCTCATCCCAGGACACAGTGCGTGGTCTGGCACATAGTAGGTGCTCAGTCAAGGTGTGAACGAATAGCAAATATCCCTTTGGAAGGCTGAGTGGCCGGCTCCGCATCGCAGAAGGCGGCTCAGGGGCGCTCCGCCCGGACTTTGCCTGGTGCGGCCGCCCGCGTTTCCGCCTGCGCCCAGCGCCCGGGGATTGACGCCTTGCGGGCGGGGAGCCTGGCGCCGGCGGGGCCCAGGCCTGTGTGATGTGCAGCCTGGGCAGCCCCGGGTGCCGCACCCGCGCCGGAGGGGCGGGGAAGGGCAGAGCCGTCCAGGAACTCTACAGCGCCGCCGCCTCCGCGCCTCCCTTCAGCCTGCCCGCAGCTTCCCGCCTCTGGCTGGGCTCGGGGACCTCGGAGGCCTGTTTCTGAGCCCCTCCCCGCGGACTCGCTCCCCGGACGCCCCCAGCGGGCTCCTCTGGCCTCGGCCCTGCACGCCGCCGGGGCGGAGCCTCCCATCCTTTGGGTAAGAGCCCCTTCCCCGCCCCGCGCGGGGGAAGGGCCCCGTTTCCTGGGCTCCTCCTGTGCTCCAGCACGCTGCCTGGGGAGATCAGCCTGTACCCCGGCGCTGGCCTCCAGACAGCCAGGTGCTGCCTCGCACGGTCTTGCTTGCAGGCTGGGGCATGAAGCACCCTGGTATTTACGCTGGGATTGGTCTCTCACTAGGGTTGGGGCGGGCTGTGGTCACCTGGCCCGGCGCGCCGCAGAGGCTGGCTCCGGAGAAGACCTGGGGGCGCAAGACTCAGAGGCCAGAGGGTGCAGCCGCTGCTGACTCATTTGCGGACGGGGCGGCTGGGAGGAGCGCTAGCCCCTGTTGTGAGCGATTTGAGAGCCAGGGCCAAATCTGGGTCCAGACGGCCAGCTGGGCCAGCGAGGGGATTCCAGTCCCCACAGGAGGAGGTGGTGAGAGAGGGAGAGGGAGGGCATATCTGAGGCCCCTAGGCAGGATGCGTTCAGGGCTGGGCCCCACAGCCTGCTCATCCATCCTGAATCTGGCCTCCGGGACTTGGCGTTCCCGCCCTCCGTCCCCACCAGGCTGTGTCTTCTTTCCTCTGGACACTTCTTTCCCCCTCCCCCGGTTTCTCACAGCTTTCCTTGCCCCACCTTCTCCATAAAGAAATGTGGCTGTGAGAAGCGCCACGTTTTGAAGCCAGGTCACCTCCACTTCCTCTAGTGCTGGTATCACTAACCCCTTCCTCTGTCCTTCCTTCCTTTGTCCCTCTCCCCCGCATTTATCCCACAACTTCCTTTATTCTGTCATGCCATGCCTAAGGGGCCCCTAGGAGGGGTCAGGAGCAACTGGGAGTTTTTAGTTTGGAGAACAGGAGGGAATGAGAACGTTCTTGCGTCCACTCATTCATTTGAGCATGCATTTACACATGCGTTTACTTCCATTCACTCACTCATACATTCCTTCATTCTTTTGCAGTTAATTACTCATTCATTCATTTTCTGGACACTTACTGAGCATCTACTGTGTTCAAGGCCCTGAGTGTTTGCGGGAGGGGCCAGGATACTCTGATTGGCCAGTCCCATCCCTGATGCCAGCTAGCTCAAGGTCAAAAAGGGGGAATTAGCACAAATCAGTCCAATTTATGAGAAAATGCACCGAGAAAGGGCTGTGAAGTGTGTGTGTGTTGTGTGTGTGTGTGTCTGTGTGTGCACAGGCGTTGGGGCACATAGGGGGAGAATGTAATTCCACTTAGGAGGGGCCAAGAAGGCTTCCTGGAGGCAGTGACATTTGAGCTGGCCTTGATGGCGGGCACGGTTTGGATGTAGACTTATTAAACGGGCATCAGGGTGGAGGGAACAGCAGAAACAAAGGACACACCAGGGGTGTGAGGGAGCAGTGGGCAGTTCTATTCATGGCATGAGGGGATCAGAAGAACGAAGTCTGGACAGCGAGGCCAGGGCTGAGTGGAGGACAGGAGAGAGGAGCAGCCTTGTTCTGAGCAGCCCAGAGCCACGGTCACGGCAAGACCCTTCTGGCTCTTGTGTGTGTGTGGAGCTGTTGGTTCTGGTAGAAGCTGTAGGAGTTCAGCTAGGACAGTACTGAAAGCGGAAGTTGGTGTAGATGGTGTGAGACGTCCCTCCTCTCCAGAGAGTCCGTGGTCCTGTCTGGAAAGGCCAAAAAGCCAGGAGAGGGAATTCCTGGGAGATTGGTTATTTTATTCACTCATTCATTTCCTCTTTTGCCCTTAAACCCACTCATTCATTCATTCTTCACTTAGTCACCAAACCCTTCCTCTGGGCAAGCCTTGTGCTGGGAACTCAGATGATTCAGAAGAGGTCCCTGCTCATGTGAGCTCCCAGTCTGGTGGGAGAGACAGATCCGTGCCTGACAGCTGCAACCCAGAATCACTGTGGAATGTAAATGGAGATAATTTCATTGTGTTTTGTCACTGAGTGGGGAGGCCGAGTTGAGACATGGACCAGAAGAATTAATGCAGACGTTTGGCCTCCAGCCAGAAAGGCCTGATCCATGGGGCCAGGTGAAGAAGGTTGTAGTTTGGGAAAATGAGTGTTTGAAAGAGAAAATCCTCTGGGTTCACAGGTGTGAAGAGGCAGGCTTTCTCTAAATGTGAGACTCCCCAGAGGCCCACTTAGGGACTGGGCCTTTGGGCTGAGGTCACCACAAACTCCCCTCACATTAGAGATGAACCTGCGGGATTTGGGAGCCCCTAGAGAATTTTCTGGCTGGTCAGCATAAGCTATAAGCAGGTTGTGGAGGGTGGTGGTTAAATCTGTGGGCTTCGGACTTAGATCAGGGTTCAAATCCCGATGTTCCCTTCCCAGTGATGTGACTTTGGACAAATGACTTAATACTCTTTGCCTCCATTTTTTCCTCTACAGGAAAATAATAATCATAGTATCTTCCTTTTAGGGTGAGGCCTAAAGGCAATAACATACACGATGTGCGTGCACAGTGCTGGGCATTGAAAAGGGCTATAATGATAGGGTTATAATGACAGTGACTATGATGATGACAGTGACATACTATCAAGTGCTGCCTTTAAAATCTCTGGGCCTCGGCCGGGCGCAGTGGCTCATGCCTGTAATCCCAGCACTTTGGGAGGCCGAGGTGGGCAAATCACTGAGGTCAGGAGTTCGAGACCAGCCTGGCCAACATGGTGAAATCCCATCTCTGCTAAAAAATATTAAAAAACAGGGCCGGGTGTGATGGCTCACGCCTGTAATCCCAGCACTTTGGGAGGTCGAGGTGGGCCGATCACGAGGTCGGGAGATCAAGACCATCCTGGCTAACACGGTGAAACCCCATCTTTACTAAAAATACAAAAATTAGCCGGGCGTGGTGGTGGGCGCCTGTGGTCCCAGCTACTCGGGAGGCTGAGGCAGGAGAATGGCATGAACCCGGGAGGCAGAGCTTGCAGTGAGCCGAGATTGCGCCACTGCGC
This sequence comes from Homo sapiens, assembly GCF_000001405.40. Taxonomy (NCBI): domain Eukaryota; kingdom Metazoa; phylum Chordata; class Mammalia; order Primates; family Hominidae; genus Homo; species Homo sapiens. Next base: position 54,545,388 of record NC_000001.11, read on the forward strand.
TCCAGCCTGGGCGACAGAGCAAGACTCCGTCTCAAAAAAAAAAAAAAAAAATTAGCTGGGCGTGGTGGCGCGTGCCTGCAACCCCAGCTACTCAGGAGCCTGAGTCAGGAGGATCGCTTGAACCCAGGAGGTGGAGGTTGCAGTGAGCCGAAATTGCGCCACTGCACCCAGCCTGGGTGACAGAGTGAGACTCTGTCAAAAAAAAAAAAAAAAAAAGAACAAAAAATCTCTGGGCCTCATTGTCCCCGGGTGTAAAATGGGAGGGCTGACCCCAGCTCGCCAGTTCTCCAAGCGCGGTCCCTGGACCATAGGTATCCTTTGGGGTCTTGTTAGAAACGCAAATTCTTGGGTGCTGCTTCAGTTCTATGGAATCAAAAACTGTGGGGACAGGGCCCAGCAATCTATATTTTGACAAGCCCTCCAGGTGATTCTGGTGCAGGCTGGAGTTTGAGAACCGCAGACCTCTTCTTGATCCCCGTTCAGGGCTGTGATCCAGCCATGTGTGTTTCATGCCTCCTGCACATGGTGTCCAAGTCTGCAGGGTGGTGGGGAGGGGGCACAGAGATAGGTAAGATGTGGTCCAAGCCCTCAGGGAGCTCGTGGGTGAGTTGGAAAGGGGAGACAGACACCCATGGGAACATTCACTGGAGTAACAGACTGCACAGAGCTGTTGCGGCGACACAGGAGTGAGCTCTGTAATAGAAAGCGCAGAGAGGAGAGGGACCTTTGTGGGTTGGAGGGGCACCTGTTGAAAGATCTAGCTCTCTGCTGCTTGTTCCTAACACTAAGATTGATTCAGCCTTTCTGGAAGTCCTCTCGTAAGTCTAACTGAAGCCTCTCTCATTTCATGCCTTGCTGTGTGGGGGGTGGACAGGGCTCTGGACTTGAGGTCAGGGGTGTGATTCTAGCCAACTTCCTCACTGTGTGTCTTTGGGAGCCTCACTTTCCTCCGGGCCTCAGTTTAGCCATCTGTAACATGCAGGGGTGAGCCAAATCCAGTGAGTGTGGGACATTGCAGTTGTCTGGAGAGAGGGTAGGCTTGGGAGCCAGGAGCTCTCTGGGTTTTCATTCCTCCTTCTGCAGAGGGAGGATTCTGAAATTGCCCTGGCTGCCTGTCAAGTTAGCTTGGGGACCCATAAGATGAGATATCCCCTCTTTGGGCTGACTTCCTTACCATCCAGGGAAGTCTCATGACACCTGTCCTGTCCGCCTCACGTGGCTTTCCTCATGTCGAGCGTGCTCGTCATTCTGTCATTCTCACAGGCTCCTTGATGCCTAAAGCCCAATGTCTGGCATTCGAGCCCTCCATGACAGGTTCCCAGCTTTCCTGCAAGGCCATGCTCCTCACGGCCTATGACTGCCTCCTGTTCTGCGCCTGTCAGGTCTTCCACCTCACCCCTCTTCTCAGCCTATCCAAGCCCATTCAGTCTTCAGGCGAGCTCTAGCACTATCTCCTCCAGGAAGTCTCCAGGATTGCTCCAATCCTCAGGGCCATCCATGGGCCATCTTGCAGTCTTTAAGGTGTGACTTCAATTTCTCATTTGTAGACACAGAATGGCTGACCACTAACAAGCTGTTTGAGGGCAAGGCCTGAGCTCATGGGGATGGACATTATTAGAGTCCTTGACTTGTGGAGCAGGGAGGCCCAGAGAAAGGAGGGAACTTGCCCAGAGTCACATGGTACACTAGTGAAAGAAGGAGAACTCAGGCTTCTTAGGCAAGACAGGCCTGGAGGATGCATGATTAGATCTGTGGTGAATGAGCGAGAGGCCCTGAGGATGGAAGGAAGGCTGTGCCCTCGGAATCCAGCGGGTCTGTCCCAGCTGGTCTGTGCTGTCACTGGCTGTGCCACCTGGGGCATGTCACGTACCCTTCCTAAGGAATCTTCCCAGTGGGGTTGGAGGAAGACCAGCCCGAGGCCTGTCACACGGCAGGTGCTTGGTTATTATGGGGTGCATGCTATTATTTTCCATCTACTTGTCCATCCCAGCCCCCATGCCTGAATCCTTTCCCTGCCCCTCCACTTCCCACCCCCCACTTCCCTTAGCCACCAAGCACTCATTGTCCTGTCCTTAGTCCAACGTGAGTGTCAAGACCTCCTGATCAAGCCTGTGGGCAGAAGTCAGAGGGAGAAGGGAAAACCCTGGTGGTCTCTCAGTTGGTGGTGGCTAGAGAGAAACTGGAGTGGGTGCCCCAAGGGGCTGAAGCCTGTGTGGCCATCGGGGTGGAATTTGGCAGGTGCCACTTTTAGAAAAGTCACACTGCCTATTTAAAGGAAGTGAGGGGTGTGTCCTGTCCCCAACCAGCAACTGCTGGATGCCTGCGGCCTGGAGCTGAGGAGCTGGTGGGCAGCGCTCCCGGGGTGAAGAATCCTAGCAGGTGGGTCTGGTATCTCTCCGGGAGGTTGCTGGCAGCTCCTTGGCCTCCTGCCACCTTCCAGCCTGACCCCTTGTGGACGGATGGAAGCCTCATGGCTGTTTTGCCCATCTGCTGGCTGGGATCAGGGACCTGGACCCCCACCAGCCCCCTTCCCTGGGAGTGATCACAGAGCCAAGAGACACTGTTGGCAGGATGATGAGCTCTGGGACTGGGGGTGCCTGGAGTTTGGCTGGGGCTGGGTGCCCAGTGGGCGGGCACAGGCCCCTTGACGTGGCTGTGGCCTAGCTGGCAGCCTCGTCCTTCCTCTCCGCTAGGCGGGCACTGGAGCTTTCTGTGCAGGGCTCCTAGGAGAAGGGGGGTAGAGGGCAGTCTGAAGAGAGGCGGGACGCGGGGTGATAACAGCTGGCTCTGGTGGGCGGGCGGGAGCTGGGGAGGAGGAGCAGGAGAGGCCCACAGGCTTCATTTGGAGTCAGGCCTGGCTGTTGCTCAGGTGACCAGCTTGTGTCTCTGGGAGGGCGCTGCTTTCCCCGGCCACCCGGCGCGATGATCCAGAATGTCGGAAATCACCTGCGACGGGTATGGAGGGTGGGCTGGGGCAGCGGGAGGGCTCTGGAAGCTGGGCACCCAGAAAGAGATTGATGTTTCCATTTTAACTCAGACGCTCTGCATCTCCTCACACTCTCCACGGGCCATTTTCTAGCTCTCTTTGGAAGGAGAAATCGCAGAACCCCTGGGCTGGTTTATTATCAGCAGCAATCTCCAAACAAGCCCCAGGGGCTGTCAGATCCCCCACGGGCTGGCTGTGTAGAGTGGAATCACCTTCAGCAAGTGTCGGCCTCTGGAATTCTATTCGGTGGGTGTATGTTTCTCCCTGCAGAGTTCTGTGTATGTTTCTGGGGGATGTCTGAGCTCCATGGCCTTGTGGTGCTTCATGCTCAGAGCTCAGGACCCCAAAGCCACAAAGCTGATGGGAGTGACAGGGTGTGAGGTATGGGTGTGAGTGAGTATGTGTGGTGGGGTGAGGTCGGCGTTCTTGGGGAGCAGAACCTCTTGGGGAGAGCAAGCACAGGATCACATGACGGCTGCGGAAAGCTGTCCTGCAAGGTGACCTTGAAGAGAACTTTTCCCTGCGCTTTGGAGCTGAGATTAGTTGCTGAGGCACACGGCAGACCCAAGTGCCCAGCAGCGCCTGGCAGTGGATGGAGTGTATGGAGATGGGCTCAGGACAGACTGGCAGAGGTTGTAAGACTGGCAGAGGCTGACCTCTGAGGATATTTTCAGGAAAAGCCTTTTTTTAAAGGGGCTGGAACAATTAAATGTCTTATCTATCCTCTCCCTCCATCTGCACAGCCACTGCACAACTCAGCATCCTCACCGGGCCCTGTGCATCTTGTCTCCCCTGGCTCCCCCATTCCATGTCAGCCCCTTTCAGTCCACTCTCCACACTGGAGGGATGCTTCTAAAAAGTAAATGTGCTGACTCCTCACCTGCTCACACGGCTACCCGAGGATGATTTTCACATCCCTTACTTGAGACGAAGGGATGTTGGCACTCTGGCTCCTGCCCATGCCTCCCTTTTTCTTCCACCATCCCCACCCCTCTGCTGTCCCTGCTTCAGCCATAGTGAGCTGCTCTCCGCGGCTTCGGTGTCCCACTTTTGTTCTCTCCTCCAGGCTGTTGTACTTGCTATGTCTTCTGCCGGAGTTACCCCCAGCCTTCCTGCATCTCCCCAAACTTGTGTCCCCAGCAAGTTCCTTCTGAGCCCTCAGATCTCAGCTCAGGTGCTGCCTCCTCTGGAAGTCCTTCTCAGATTTCTCATGACACCATGAGCCTCTGTGTTAGCCCCTTTTCACACTGGATTGTGTGCTAGACTGGCACATACATCCCTCCCACCAGCCAGGGAGCAACACGAGGCTGCTCTTGGTATACCCAGCACGGGGACGGGTGTGGCCAGAGGCCAGGGAATGCTTAATGAATGAATGGGGACAGGCAGCTTTTCAGCAGCGAGGCTAAGGGTGGGATCTGAGTAGCAGGGCCGCTTGCTCTTGTCACCTGAGTGCAGGGCAGAGTGTCTCCCAGGAGGGAGGGGCTCCTCGTATCTTCTCTTGTGCCCTGTTGTATTTAACCCTTTATGACTTTTTCCTTCATCAGTAACTGGGGGCAAGGCACTGGGGAAGAGGCATATCGTTATCACTGTTTTACAGAGATAACAATAGTAACAAATCTTCACATAGCTCTTTGCATTTATGAACTCATTCAGTTCTCTATGAGGTAGGTACAGTTATCATCCCCGTATCCCAGATAAGGACCCTCACAGAGGGTAAGTGACTTGCCCAAGATCACACTGGTAGGAAGTGGCAGAGCTGGGATTAGAACCCAGCAGTTTGGCCCCAGAGTCTGAGCTCTTAAGGAGCCTGAGGCTCAGCCAGATGAAGGCGCAGATGTGGGATTCCAACCCACACGTCCTGACTCTGAGCCCAGCTGGCATTCAGCTTCCTTGCACTACCTTTGTTGAGTCTGGGGGTGGAGGTGGGTATTGGGAGTGGAAGTTGGGCTCTTGAGGACACAGGTAGCCTCCTGTCAGCTAAGAACACTCTGGCCTTGATTGCCACCTCTGCACCATTGTCTGGATGGCAGATCTCTTTGGATTTCTCTTGAATTCCCTTAGTTCCTCTGGAATACAAGAGGGTTTGGGAACATTTTCTGGCTTGGTACCAAAGCTGTTTTTAATGAAAAGCAAACAAGCAAACAAATAAACAATCCCTGGCCAGCTGTGGTGGCTCACACCTGTCATCCTAGCACTTTGGGAGGCTGAGGCAGGTGAATTGCTTGAGCTCAGGAGTTTGAGACTAGCTAGGCCAACATGGTGAAACCCCATCTCTACCAAAAATACGAAAAAAAAAATAGCTGGGCATAGTGGTGTGCACCTGTGGACCCAGCTACTCGGGAGGCTGAGGTGGGAGGATCACTTGAGCCTGCCTGGGAGGCGGAGGCTGCAGTGAGCCAAGATCATGCTACTGTACTCTAGCCTGGATGACAGAGTGAGATCCTGTCTCAAAACAAAAACAAAAACAAACAAAAAACCCCACCAAGCTGGGTGTGGTGACCCATGCCTGTAATCCCAGCACTTTGGGAGGCCGAGACGGGTGGATCACTTGAGGCCAGGAGTTCGAGACCAGCTCGGCCAACATGGTGAAACCCCATCTCTACCAAAAATACAAAAATTAGCTGGGCATGGTGGCATGCTCCTATAGTCCCAGCTACTCGGGATGCCGAGGCAGGAGAATTGCTTGAACCCAGGAGGCAGAGGTTGCAGTGAGCTGAGATCACACCACTGCACTCCAGCCTGGGCGACAGTGGTCTCAAAAAAAAAAAAAAAAAAAGAAAAAAAACCAGCAACAGCAACAACAAAAAACTCACCAAATTGTCTTTAATAGGGACTAAACTGGGAACAGAAGAGGGGGTCTCAGATAATCCACAAGCCCCACTTTGCATGGTTGGGGGCCATTTTCAGTGTCCTGTGGCACTGTAGACAGAGTCAGCATTGGAGTTCAAGGGCTCTGGTCCCTACTCGCCCCTGGGTACCCAGCAAGTGAGTGGGCGACTGAATGAAGTGGTCAGCCTGCTGCCACGCTCGGGGCTGGGAGAACTGCTGAGTGCAGTGTGGTGGTGCGGGAAAGGTCTCCCTGTCCCGCTTCAATCCTTGCCTCTCCCCGTGGAGAGCTCTTCTTTCCCTTTCCAAGATGTCAGTCTACACTGGGCACTGAGTCTCACATTTCTGGGCTAGCAGGGACCCACTGGTGCCCTCGTAGGAGGTGGGCAAGGGTCCTGGGAAGCCTGGGAACCTCTGCCCAGCCTCAGGTCTAGCCTGGCCCAGGTCAGCTCTCAGTGGGGCTCAGAAGCTTTTTTTACTCCAGAAATGGTGATGGGGCTGGCTGTTTTTGTTTTGTTTTTGTTTTTGTTTTGTTTTGTTTTTGTTTTTGTTTTTGTTTTTGTTTTTGTTTTGAGATGGAGTCTCATTCTGTCACCCAGGAGTGCGGTGGTGTAATCTTGGCTCACTGCAGCCTCTGCCTCCTGGATTCAAGGAATTCTCCTGCCTCAGCCTCCGGAGTAGCTGGGATTACAGGTGCCCACCACCACACCCAGCTAATTTTTGTATTAGCCTCCAACCACACAATGCAATCCTACTGTTTTACCTTGAACCTGAGGACAGCTGGAGGGCTCCCCACAACCTCTCAGCTTCATAAGGGGTCTAACCCAGAGTGTGGGGAGGTTCAGGCACAACAGTTGGATGTTCACCCCACGGTTCACGGTGTGACCTTTGGCCAGGGGTTCCTCTCTCTAGGCCTTAGGGTGCTGGGTGATCCCTGAGGTCCCCACCAGCCTGGACATCCTGGGGCTCTGAATGTTTGTGAAGGGTTTGTCTGCCACCATGAAGTTGATCCTGACAGTGAGAGGCAGGGTCCCGTCTCTCTTGAGGACCCTACTCTGTGTTGGAGGTGGGGAGACCTTAGACATAAAATGATGGGCCTATCATATACGAGGAGTCCCAAAACTGCTGAATGAATGAGTGACCACAGGTGCTCAGAAGCAGGCTGAGGTGGTCCTAGAAGGCTTCCTGGAGGAAGAGGTGAGACTTGAACATGTAGCATCAGCCTGTTCAGGAGCCATATGTGAACCCCCAGCCTCAGCCATGGGCAGACACTCTTAGTGTTTTTTTTGTTTGTTTGTTTTTGAGGCAGAGTCTCACTCTGTCTCCCAGGCTGGAGTGCTGGAGTACAGTGGTGCCATCTCAGCTAACTGCAACCTCCACCTCTCTGGTTCAAGCGATTCTCATTTCTCGGCCTCCTGAGTAGCTGGGACTACAGGTGCGTGCCATCGGCTAATTTTTTCTATTTTTAGTAGAGACGGGGTTTCACCATGTTGGCCAGGCTGGTCTTGAACTCCTGACCTCAGGTGTTCTGCCTGCCTTGGCCTCCCAAAATGCTGGGATTACAGGCATGAGCCACCATGCCCGGCCCACTCTTAGTGTTGTTGTTGTTGTTGTTGTTTGTTTTTGTTTTGTTTTTTTTTTTTTTGAGACGGAGTTTCGCTCTTGTTGCCCAGGCTGGAGTGCAGTGGTGCTATTTTGGCTCACCGCAACCTCTGCCTCCCAGGTTCAAGCGATTCTCCTGCCTCAGCCTCCCAAGTAGCTGGGATTACAGGCATGTGCCACCATGCCTGGCTAATTTTGCATTTTTAGTAGAGATGGGGTTTCTCCATGTTGGTCAGGCTGGTCTCGAACTTCCGACCTCAGGTGAGCCACCCGCCTAGGCCTCCCAAAGTGCTGGGATTACAGGCGTGAACCACCATGCCCGGCCAGTGTTCTTAATTTATCTGGAGGACTCTTTTTTTGCTCTCCAAAATTTTATTTTAATATGCATAGCATAAGGGAATGATTACCTCATTAAAAAATTTTTTTTTAATGGGCCAGGCATGGTGGCTCATACCTATAATCCCAACACTTTGGGAGGCCGAGGTCGGTGGATTACTTGAGGTCAGGAGTTTGAGACCAGCCTGACCAACATGGAGAAACTGTGTCTCTATTAAAAATACAAAAATAAGCTGGATGTGCCCAGTTGAACCTGGGAGGTGGAGGTTGCAGTGAGCCGAGATCGCGCCACTGCACTCCAGCCTGGGTGACCGAACAAGACTCTGTCTCAAAAAAACATTAAAAAAAAAAAATGGACAGGTAATATTCTATGTTTTTATCATGTACAAATGATGTTTTGAAGTACGTATACATTATGTTATGACTAAATCTAATTAACAGATACATTACCTCACATAGTTTTCATTTTTTTGGTGATAGTGCAGAACATCTACTCTGCATTTTTCAAGAATACAATATATTGTCATTAACCATATCACCTTACTGTATAATAGATCTCTTGAAATTTATTCCTCCTAAGTGTAATTATGCATCCTCTGACTAAGATCTCTCCATCCCCCCAACAACCCCTGCCTCTGATAAGCAGCATTATACTCTATTTCCATGAAATCAACTTTTTAAGATTGATGTCTGAGTGA